>NC_000010.11:12585757-12737272 GCF_000001405.40 Homo sapiens
GGGAGCTACAATGCAAGATGAGATTTGGGTGGGGACACAGCCAAACCACGTCAATCACTAAAGCCAGTCTTCAGTGACCTGCCATCTCGATCCTTCGGACACTCCATGGAGGCTTCTGGACGCAGCATCTGTGCTGCTCAGGGCCGTTCCTCTTCTCATTGGCTGATGTGCTCTGTGGCATCTGTCACAGGTTTTAATTGAAGGTCAGCAGTGGCAGGTAAGCCACCAGCATCATCAGCTTCTTTCAGCCTTTTGGAACAAGAGTGAAATTGGCCAAGGTCACTGCTATGACAAACGGTTGCTTGGATGGAGCCCTTCCGAGCATAGGTATTTATAGATCCAAACATTTATGGAAGCCCCACCATGAATTAATGCACAGTGGCGTTCTCCCACCAAACCTGGAGAAAGTCTTCCAAACATTTTTGGAAAACATTTTAAATATTTAAAAAATTGTTTCTATTCTGTTTCTTAGTAACAGCAGTCTAACACAAAACTATAGCATTTCTGTCATGGCTAAAGAAAGTCGATTCCAGTCCACTGAAGCTGAAGACATCTGGCCTCCTCAGCTGTAATCCCAGATACTTGGGCGGCTGAGGCAGGAGAATCACTTGAACCTGGGAGGCAGAGGTTGTAGTTAGCCAAGATCACACCATTGCACTCCAGCCTGGGCGACAGAGCAAGACTTCCTCTCAAAAGAAAAAAAAAAAAAAAAAAAAATTGAAGAAGGGAGATAGATGCATACACGAAAAGTTAGCTTTATCTGGTTAGGAAATCTACTCCTTTGTTAAAAACAATACCCATTCTCCAAAACTAGTACTGAGAGAAGATCCAGGATTAGCCTGACCCACAGCCCACCTGCAGCCTTGAGAGTAAGTTGCTGTGTCCCGAGCTGCAGAGAACCGCCACCCTCCTGCTGCCCCCTCACCAGACCTAGGCTGTTGCTCACCTCTTGTCTGTTGTTAAAATCATTTCATGAAAGAAAAAAAACAACAAAAAACTTAAAATCATAAAAAATACGGGATGGATGTAATCTCATAAAAAAGAGCAGTCTTTTAAGTAAATAAATGAAAGCAAACCTCCAAGTCCCTCATGTTCCCATACTTATTTTTTTGATTTCATCACTGACAGGTGAGAACTTGTCTGGCCTGGGAGCGGCTTTGGAGAAGTGCTTTTCTAGGTTGCTTCTCCTGCTGATAAGGACCATGACTCACAGGAAGGCTGCTCTGAAACCCCTTACAGGAGAATGGGGACCATGGTTGTGTTTTCTTGGTTACCTCTCACTCGGGGCATCTTCCCATTAGCGGTTTTGACTTAATTCACTCTGGGCTTGAGGCTCCTCCTTGGTAAGTTGGATAGTTGGAAATGATCTCTGAGTCCCATGCTCTGGTTTCATGGGTTCCTTTCCTTTTAAGGGAAAACAAACTTCTCTGCAATGTTAAGAGAGGTTGTGATGGTAAATAACCGAAAATTAATAAGCAATGACTGAGGAGTAGCCAGCCCACGATCGCTTTCCTAGAATATACTCTGACTCCCAAAATAAGCAGGCACAGACAACAGTGTGGAGCCCCTCTCATCATATCCCGCATGCAAAATTCAGGGAGACTTGGAGCTAAAAACGCATTGACTTCTTAGTTGTCTCCATTTGTTCTGGGTTAGGTGATGGATCCACAGTGACTTAGCAGCTTTGATGACAGCCGGGGCTTCTGGAGGCTTGGCGGCATGTTAAAACCACCTGGGTCTATTCCAGATGGATTAAATCAGGCTCTCTGGGACTGGGGTCCAGACATCATTAAAAAAAAAAAAAAAAGTCTCCCCAGGTGGCTTCATATGCAGCCCGAGTTGAGATTTATTGGACCAGACTAACAAACACAGCTGGAAGAAGAGGGCAGGGAGGACTCCTTAGGATGTGCAGATGGAGTGGCTCATGCAGGCTGCAGTGGAATTCCTTTCCTTCTTGTAATAAAACAACTCCTATTTACATATCATTTTAGAAAAATATTTTCCCCCTTGTCTTATCTGATGCTCAAGAGAGAATAGAGTTTGCCTTAGCATCTCCGTAGATTTGTTTTTTTTAGATGTATGACCTGTCATCAATAAACCCAGAGACATAAATTAGGGAATGGCTGTGCTATAGAAAGCACTTACTGATGTATTAAAGATTCTGCCTTCAAGCTCTTTTAAATAGTGCCTTTCTCGGTGATTTGGACTTAAAAATTTAAGGATATATGTACATGCAGCTTTGTGGGAGCACTTGAATATTAAGTAGTGCCTAGCTAAGTTGTGTTGAAATGAGTTGGTAGATCGTAGATAATATAAAGTAAGTGAATATTTCCAAGGGAGCGGAGAAACTTGGATGGCTCAGTAATTATGGAAATTGGCAGGGCATTTGGGGACCCCAGCTGCTCTTTGTCCCTTTGTCCCATAAATGGGTGACAGTCTGCAAGGCACGGAGCTCTGCCAGATGTTTGCAATAGTGGTTGGGTGGGGAGAATTTCAGAGCTGGTTTGGCCACAGGAAGATGACGAGCTTGTTAAGAATAATGATCGGACACCCTGCATATTCGCTGACTGCATGCTTAGCAAATTTGCAAACTAGCTTCATCCTTAAGGGCTTTTAGTCACAGAATGTAAATAAGAGGCACACCCATGAGAGTTTGCTGGAAAACAAAGAGAAACCGTGCTCTCAATAAGTGCTCGCTAATTGTTTTGGGATTTGTGACAAATAGGGAGCAAATATTGAGTCGGTACTTGGGTGATTTCTTTTCTTTCTTTTTTCTTTTTGCGAACTGACCTGGAGCCTTGGTCTCCAGGAACTTTCTGTTCCTGGCATGCAGATCTCCTGCCCCACCACCTGCACCTGCTCAACGCTCTCCCACATCCTGCAGAGGAAGGAGTAGAGGGCGGAAGACTCTGTTGTACCCGACATCCAAGAAAACCACAAGCCATGTTGCCATTCTCAACTTCTTTTCAAGAAGTGACAGCATCAAACTCAAGAGAGTTGTGTCAATTTAAAGTGCATATGTATATATATATACACACACACACACACACACATACACACATGCACATACATATATATGTGCTTGTATATATACATGTATATGTATATATGTGTGTGTGTGTGTGTGCGTGCGTGTGTGTGTGTGTGTATATATAACATGCCCCTATATATACATGTATACAATACACATATTTATATACAGGTGCATGTTACATACATACATACATATATATAAAGGGACACATTATATACACACATATTTGAGACAGGGTCTTGCCCTGTCTCCCAGGCTGGAGTGCAGTGGTGCTATCTCAGCTCACTGCAGCCTCCATCTCCCAGGCTTAAGCCATCCTCCTGTCTCCCAGGCTCAATTCATCCAAGTAACTGGGACCACAGGTGCACAGCACAATGCCCGGATAACATTTTGTAATTTTTTTGTAGAGATGGGGTTTCACCATGTTGCCCAGGCTGGGCTCAAACTCCTGAGTTCAAACAATCTTCCCACCTTGGCCTCCCAAAGTGCTGGGATTACAGGCGTGAGCCACTGCGCGCAGCCTGTATAATTTTTAAAATAGGGAACAGATTGTGCAAACATACAAAATGTGACCCAGAATGGTTTGGTGTCTAAAAGAGGCTGACCACCTCCATGTGGCTGGAGGTGGTTTCAAAACGAAGCCCGCAGGCCATGGCTGAGCTTCACTGACCGTGCTTGCTTTGCCTTTTGTGATTTGCATGCATTTCTCTTAAATGAGAGCAAATGGAAGCATTTTTGGATGATACCAGCAGAGCTGCAGAAATGAAAGAGCAGGCTCCCCAGCCCGGAATGAGCAAGTAACAAATCTTCCCTGGCCCTTTTCTTACCAGTGAAAATGTCTCGTCTTCAGAAACTGCCTGTCTTAAAAATCAGCTCCTCCAACACAGGGAGTAGCTTCAGATAGGGGTGGGCAGGGGGCAGCAGGAATTAGTAATTTTCAGCATTTACTACTTCCTAGGAACACAGACTTTAAAGAAAGTCAGCTTCCTTGGAACATTTGTCCTCCTTCATTGCAGTTATTTAGTAATTTCTGAGTCCGGGATTTTTCTGATCAGAACATCTTGTAAAATACAGAGTTGCTGATATTCTGACATAAACCCTCCTTTTAAATGCCCTTTGCAGTAGAGACCTGCTAGGGTAACTCTGATGTGCCAAACCTCAGAGCCAAGGGGAAAGAACAGGAGCAAATGACACTGAAAGCAAGCTCAAGTTCTTTGCCAATTATAATATGCTAAAAACACAACCGCAAGCTGATCCTTCTCTAGAGCCTGTAGGGAGGCCGTGCAGCCTGTACAGACTATTTGCCATTTTCTCTAGCACTTTCTGTCTCATTTTAGGTCACTGAATACTTTATTTCTTGCTGCGGAGTTAATGATATGCATATCTTTACTTCTCAACTAGAGTTCTTTGGTGCTGGGTCTCAGTCTTTTATTTTTTATTTTTAGAGATAGCATCTCACTCTGTCTCCCAGGCTGGAGTGCAGTGGCACCATCATCGCCCACTGCAGCCTCGACCTCCTGGGCTCAAGCGATCCTCCTACCTCAGCCTTCCGAGTAGCTCGGACTGTGGGTGCACATCACCATGCCTGGCTAATTTTTAAGTGTTTGCAGAGATGGATCTACAAAAATCTAGCTATGTTGCCCAGGCTGATCGTGAACTCCTGGCCTCAAGTGATCCTCCTGCCTCGGCCTCACAAAACATTGGCATTACAGGTGTGAGCCACTTTGCCTGGCCCTGGGTCTCAGTCTTTTTGCTTTTTCCCTTAGCACCTAGGAGAGTACTTTATTCATAGTTACTGTTCCATAATTATTGTTGAATGAATGCACTTGAACAAAACACAATGTGATTTGTTTTGTTTTCCAGATCAGCTCATAATGAATTATATGTATCTAACTGGGCAGACGTAAAGCTGCCGCCTGTAGAATAAAAGAGCCATCCATGATTAGAATCACAGAAGCAGAAAATTTTAGAACTATAAAGGACTTGAGATTTTAATTCAGTCTGTTTATTTTGGAGATGAACAATGAGAGTTCGTGGAGATCAAGTGACTTGCCCAAGGTGGAATTGCTGGTGACACATGAACCAGCCACCCACTTACTTAGACAATGACTGGTCACATGAGAGCTGACATTGCTGACAATTGTTTTAGCTACCTATTGTGGTACATTTAAATTGCATCAATCTTTATGCCTCCGATTTTCCTTGGAGAAGATAGCTAACCGATTTTTAATTTTATCTTCTCTGAATTTGTGGCTCATTCATTTCTTTGTTTTTCCTCTGTCTGCTTTCTAAAATTTCTTTATGCCGCTTTCAAGAAAGCTGACTGGAACAGTCTGTTCTCCCCGTGTTAGACACAGAGGGGTCAGGGACAGAGATTGATTATTCTAGTGGGCAATGGCCAGATCTTATATAAAAGTGGAGTTCTGACTTCCAGTCTGCAGCAGCCAGTCCAGGAAACCAACCAATAACCCCTGTAGCAATTGGCCCGGCATGCCCAGGACTTGATCAATTACTGGCAGCTGCCCTAATTTTTGTCGTGACTTCCAACTTCGGACCAAACAGAGAAGGCCAAATATGCTCCCGTAACCGATCACCCGGATGGGCTGCTTTTGTTATCCCCCTACGGCACCTGCCAACAGCTGCCACCCAGAGCTTTCCCTTCTTCCACTAAAAAGTGTCACACTTCTCTGCCTGCCTTTGAGTTTCTACCAAACACAGGTGACAGTGGCTGACTTCTTATTATAGCAAGCTCTGAATAAATAGCTTCGGCTTTTCTCATTTTGGTGGGCTTCATGTATTTCCACGTAGGGAAAGACCCAGGAAGAAGCCCGGCCCTGCTCACTTGACTGTTCTCTCTGTTTCTGTTCACGTAGGCAGCTCTAAATCTACATAATAGGGTTGGTTGGTTGGTTTGTTTTTTGAGACGGAGTCTCGCCCTGTCCCCCAGGCTGGAGTGCAATGGCGCGATCTCGGCTCACTGCAACCTCCGCCTCCTGGGTTCTAGTGATTCTCCTGCCTCAGCCTCCCAAGTAGCTGGGAATACAGGCACATGCCACCACGCCCAGCTAATTTTTTGTATTTTTAGTAGAGACAGGGTTTCACTATGTTGGCCAGGATGGTCTTGAACTCCTGACCTTGTGATCCACCCCCTCGGCCTCCCAAAGTGCTAGGATTACAGGCGTGAGCCACCACGCTCAGCTGTTTTTGTTTTCTGTTTTTTTCCTTAAAAAAGCCAATTTGTCTTTTCTTATTTCAAAAGGAAATATGAAAACGCCCCCGTTGATTGCTTGGCTGAAATTGACATGCACTCTGTTGGTGGCATTCTCCAGACCTGGTCACTTAAGACAGGAGAGAAGGTTGGGCCGGCTTGAAGTCCACACTTTAGTGTTTTCTAAATGCTTGTACAACTTTCATTTCATCATCTCCCTGCGATCTCCCAAGGAGGAAGATGTCAGGCACCCTCTATCTTTCTCCTTTCCGGAATCCATTCTTCTTTCTTATTTTGAAGATGAGGATTCTTCTTGTTTTCCAGTATTTCTCAATATAGATAGAAAGTCTGAAATCACAACTAAGGTTCATTATTTGCCAGCCAAGAGTATTTTTCTTTTAAACATCAATAATGAACTTTAATTAAAGTGATGACATTGTCTTGTTTTAGAGACTGTTTTATGTGTCAGTAAGAAATGACATGGCCAGCGTGGTATTTAGAGGGGTAGGCGACAGGGATTTAGGCATCCCCAAGTGTCTGTCAGCCCACCCAACCCCCCATTCTCTGATGTGTCCAACTGACGTTTTCTCAGTTTTATGTGAAGGCTCTGCAGATGCAGTTTCATGCCCCTTATTTCCAAACATACTGAAATCACAAGTCTCTTTGGTATAAAAGAATTAATGTATCTGAAGTGCTCCAAACACAGCCTGGTCCGTAGTAATTGTTCAATGCCAGCCTACTGCTACTATTTCTCCCGTGGCTACTAATAGTAATACTACTCATTATTAGGCAGAAATCCTGTAACAGCTACTTTCTCTTAGTCATGTTTGCCTTAGTCCTTAGAATGCTTTAATATGCCAGTCTCCTTTCTAAGAGTCCTCTGCTTAAAATCTCTCTTGTTCTCTCCTTTCTGCCTGGCTCCCTCCTCTTCATCTTTCACATACCTCTTAAATGTCACTTTCTCAGGGAAGTCTTCCTAAACTCTAGTCCAAATTAGGGTTCCTATTTTCCTCTTTCAGACCAGGGGTCAGTGAATGTTTTCTATAAGGGGTCCAGTAGTAAATGTTTTAGACTTTGCAGGCCATATAGGCAACTACTCAAGTCTGATGTAGTCTAAAAGCAGCCATAGATGATATGTAAATGAATGTGTGGGCTGAGTTCCAGTAAAACTTTATTTACAAAAACAGGTGGTGGGCCAGTTGTAGTTTAACGAACCCGTTTTAGGGCACTCTTTACTTTTTCTGCACAGTATGATTACATGATGATCAATCTCCCTCTGGACTGAAGCTTCTTAAAGGTAAGACCCAAGGCTGTCTGCGCTGACTCATGCCTGTAATCCCAGCACTTCGGGAGGCCAAGGCGGGTGGATCACTTGAGGTCAGGAGTTCAACACCAGCCTGGTCAACATGGTGAAACCCTGTCTTTACCGAAAATACAAAAATTAGCCAGGCATGGTGGTGGGCACCTGTAATCCCAGCTACTCTGGAGGCTGAGGCAGGAGAATCACTTGAACCCGGGAGGCGGAGGTTGCGATGAGCCAAGATTGTGCCATTGCACTCCAGCCTGGGCAACAAGAGCGAAACTCCGTCTCAAAAAACAAACAAACAAACAAAAATCAGAATTCACCACTATAAACTTCATCCCTTTAACCAAAAACCACTTGTACCCCAAAAGCTATTGGAATTTTTTTTTAATTAATAAATTGTGAATAAACAAAATACCATCCCCCGTGGCCTGTGGCCTTTATCCTTCCTCCCCTCTCTCCTAAATCTAGCTCCTTCTGGACTTACCTGTCCTCCCAAGCTTGGGCCACTCAACTTGTAATGTCTGCCCTTGGTCAGGCAGTTTTTGTGCTGGATTGGAAGTTGCGTTGCCTTCTTCTCTCATTAAAACATGGCCAGGCGCGGTGGCTCACGCCTGTAATCTCAGCACTTTGGGAGGCCGAGGTGGGTGGATCACTTGAGGTCAGGAGTTCGAGACCAGCCTGACCAACGTGGTGAAACCCCATCTCTACTAAATACAAAAAATTAGCCTGGCGTGGTGGCACATGCCTGTAATCCCAGCTACTTGGGAGGCTGAGGCAGGAGAATCACTTGAGCCTTGGAGGCTGAGGTTGCAGTGAGCCGAGATCGTGCCATTGCACTCTAATAACACAATCATGGGAGTGAAGTTCTGTCATTATAAGAGGTGAGCTCAGCTTAAGAGCATGATAACATCCACATTACAGGGAGGAACAGTGGACATGTCAAATTCTCATTGCTGTGATTTGGGGCAAGAAAAAATAACAGGCACCACCTAGCAACCCTACCCCAAGCATCTCAAGATGTGGTAATTTCTTTTATACAAAACAAGTTTGTTTTGTTCAACCACGTTTAAGCCTATAGGTGTGATCCTTGTTTTTATAGGCAGCTAATTTCAAAGTGACATTTTGGGATGGGTTAATTTCACTTGTATTTTTCTTGCTTTTTGAATGCCTTACAGTTGAGGCTGTCAGCACTCGGCCTCCACCACAGCCAAGAGTCAGACAGAATGTGGAACCACCCACCAAGTGGGCCAATGACAATGGGCTCTACGTTTCTGTCCCTTCTCATTTCCTGCTGTAAACTTTCAGGGAGTCAGTGAACTCAAGCGTTTCTGTCAGATATAGAAACATTTCCCATGGTTGGAAAGTTAAAGGCTAGTTTAGGTTACAGGCAGTTTGTCTGCTGGAAAATACATAGTTTTCAGACACTTCCTTTTCTGGTAATAAACAAAAACAAAATCAGGAAACTGTTTCCAGGAGGTTGAACGTGTGGTTCTCATCTGCTCGGCCTCATGCGGTGTTCAAGTCCCAGGAAGTGGTTGACGTAGGTGGGGCAGCCATATTGCAGCCAGGCCCAGGCTGCAGGAAGGAATTGACTATATAGGTCAGGATCCACTTGCGGAAAGCAGAAATGATTCCAGCTGGTTTAAGCACAGGGTGATGAGAATTTCAAGTGCTGACACTGACAATGAAAGGCGGGGAAGGAGACTCACTCCATGCTGAGGTTCCAGGCATGATCTTCAAGGTGATCTGGGGGAGACCAGGTGTGGTGCCTCATGCCTGTAATCCCAACACTATGGGAGGCTGAAGAGGGCAGATCATCTGAGGTCAGGAGTTCAATACCATCCTGGCCAACATGGTGAAACTCCGTCTCTACTAAAAATACAAAAATTAGCCAGGCATGGTGGCATGTGCCTTCAATCCCAGCTACTCTGGAGGCTGAGGCAGGAGAATCGCTTGCACCTGGGAGGTGGAGGTTGCAATGAGCCGAGATCACACCATTGCACTCTGGCCTGGGCAACAAGAGTGAAACTCCATCTGAAAAAAAAAAAAAAAAAAAAAAGGATGGTTTTAGGAGAGATTCTTCTTTTGCTAAAGCTAGGAACTTGAGGAATTATCAGAATGTGGGCAGTCACTAAAATGCTGCTGGCTTGTGGAATACACCTTCCCCCGATTCTAGGCTCATGAACTTGGGCCTGGTCCCTGGGACCTTTGCATCTGAGGTGGGGTGATTGATCCAGGCCCATCTTGAATGTCTTGATTGTATCTTTGCATTTGCGTTTTGTAAGTCAAGTCCAACGTGCGTGCTCTGGGCCATGCGTCTTCTGTCCATAGCCCGTTCTGTCCCCTACCCCTTGACCATGTTTCCAGGGTGAGTGTTCAGCTGCCCACTTTCTGGTCCCACCCAGAGACCACTGCCACCTGAGGAAGCGTGACATTAGATAGCAAATTTTAAAAATACCATGACAGGTCAATAAAGAGACCACAGAAGAAAGGGGAAAGTATTTCCTCCTGATTTTTGAACAAGGTGCCTGGCATTTTTGTATTGCACTGGGCTGTGAAAGCTGTGTAGCCAACTCTGAATGCATCTCATCGCTTCCTACTATGAGTAGCAGCTTCTGCCTTCCCTCCTTTCCAGGGCTAAGTCTCTGCTTGGGGGAGAGTCAGGCCACACATGGAACCCAGCTGCAGGGGAGTCTGGGAAAGGAGTTGTTAGGGTTTTGTCTTCTGGCAAGCAGTAAGACACCCTAAAAGGGGTGGAGATGAGAGAGCTCTTCAGTCCTAAAAAGGGACATAGCCCAGGAAGACCCAAGAAGGGAAAGCAGGAAGTGAGGAGAGTGTGGGCATTTGGAGGAGGGGTTGAGTTTATCCCCCTTTAAAAGAGAAACTGTCGACAAAATAAATGTAGTAGAATTTCTTTGAGCATTAAAGGATTCATGAGTTGGGCAGCCCTCACAAACAGAAGAGGTTCAGAGATCTAGGCTTTGGCAGCATGAGCAGTGGGCTTCTATAGGCTGAACTTGGAAGCAAAGTAAAGCATTTATTTGATTGGCTCCAGCTAGCGGTTTGCCTTATTTGGGTGTGATCTGGTGGGAGGTCCCCAGTTAGAGGTTAGTTGGCAGTTTCTGATTGGTTAGGCTTACATTTCACTTTACAGTTTACATTGGGCTTCATTTGGCTTACCTAGGAACCCAAGGTGCTGGAGCCATCTCAGCCTAGTGGCCTCCCAGTTAAATATTTTTAACACTCCAAATCTCTTAGTTTGAGCTACTCCTAGGTACCGATTTCTAGGTAGAGTCCATCTGAAACCTGTAGATGAGAGGTATTGAAACTTAGGGAGCAGTAGAGGAGCTTGTCTGAAATCATGGTTTCTGGGTCCCTACCCTCAAAGATTTGGATGCCGAAATCCCATGGTGGGGTCTAGAATTTAAACTGGTAGGTTCCTCTGGAGACACTGTGTTCACTCTGCTTCTGATCACTAGTGTCTACTCCTCCTGGCCTCCAGTCCCCCTTTCCCACCCACATTTTTTTTTTAGACCTGGTAATTTTTTTTCTCTTTTCTGCATTTTTCTTGTGGTTTTTTTAGGTGTCTTTATTAACATTCCCACTGGTTTAGAGATTGAAAGCAAAGTTCCTGTCTTTGCTTTGAACACTCTAGTGAAACAGGATACTCAAGGTAAATGCTAAGATGAGGCTATTATCTCTGGAGCTCAGGGTCTAATTCATCCAACGTTTATTGAGCCCCTTCAAAGCACCCATCAGTGGGGATGGAAAATAAAAAATACACAGCTCCTGCCGTGCAGGAGCTTGTAACCTTGTGGGGAAGCTTAGCACTTCTTGCCTCCCTAGGTTTAAGCAGTTGGAGGTGCAGTATCTATTTGGAAAGAAGAAAAATGCTTTTGAAAACTGCACGTGGTCTGTATGGTGGCTGCTCCTTGTCCTGAATGCAAGGTTGCCCTCCATGATTGGGGAAGCATCCATCACCCCCTTGGGAACTGAACTCAGCTATAATGTTTGTGCTTAGGAAACTTGACATTGAACTTCCAGTAACTGAGGCCAGGACCTTCTTGAAGCACTGCCTTGTGGTTCAGTTCTGCCTGCCCACGGTCATTGGCCTTCTGGGCTGACCGTTTCCTCGCTGACTCCCACAGACACGCTGACCATCTGGAGGCTAAAGGATCTTTCTTCCTAGCAGGTCCCTCATGGTAGGGGCTCTGGGGCCCCTACCAGGCAAAGGAATGGTTGGGATTAGACCCTATGCAGAGGCACGTGACTTTTCATAGAGGGGCACTTCCATGGCCCAGTTGTTCCCTCATTGAGGGCGTTGTGGGGAGCCGGTTCCTTCCTGTGGATTGTAGCCTTCCTGACTTTAAATCCTTGCTTTATTCAGATCCTTGGCCAGTTCTTCTGTACTGGTCTCCTGGGCCACCCATAGGGCTGTCTTCACTTCCTACCATCAGCTGTTCCCTCTATCCAAAGATGAAGGAGCCCTGTATTTGCTGATGTGAGCTGCTTCCTTTATTTATGCTCTCACTGGATCTCTGGGAGATGTACTCTACCATCAGAACACTCAGAGACAGTTACCTGGACATAAAGTGTTGGTGTTGGCATCGTTATCAAACAATAACAGAAAACACGTCAGCACCAACTGCATCTGTCCCTGTGCTTGATAAGGAAAAAACAACATGCACAGTCCTGTCTTTGAAGAGCTGACATTAAGATGGACGATGCCGTGAAACACACGCATTTGTAAGTTGCAGACATCCTCCTATGCAAGCACTCTAGTCACATTTGTTTGGTAAAAGATAATCACTTTTAGCTTCAGAAAGAACTCATTCATGCCTTGATTTTCAGTGTTGCCACGGGAAAGCAATAGCAGAACCTGGGTCCCTGCTGTGAAAATGAAAATACTTAAGGATGTTCAATTGCTTTTCTGTTATTCATGTGCATCCGTGGTAGGACATCATGGCAGAGCAGCTGCTCAGAGCGTGCGATTAGGTGTGGGTTCCCACTTCAGCCTGGGATTGTTTCATTTCCTGCAGCTGTTCTCCAGCATGGTAAAATTCGAACGATGTCGATAATTTTCCCATAAGGGGCTCTCAAGATACATCAGGTTGTGCTCTCTAGAGTAGTTTAAACTACTATTTCTTGAGTACTTACTATGTACTGGGCAGCATTTTCCATATCTCAGGAAGCAGTCTCATTTTCAAAGGAAAATGAAATCTGTTTCGGGTCACACCACTTCCTGCAGATTCAGGACACCCCACTGAGAGATTTAAAAACCGTGGATGCTCTTTTCAGTCTGACAAGATGCTTGTCATAGAGCATCACTGTCTGGGCTACAGGGATGCAGAAAGGACCGAAGGTCTGAAGGGAGGAAAAGGGCTCTGTACTGGTGGGTTTCTGGAAAAGCCTTTACTTTGAGGTGGTCCATTGAGCTTGTGTAGCCTGGAGGGGTAGAAGCAAAATTAAACGAATACGGGTCAACCTTTTAACGCGTATCTTGCAAATAACATGCTACTGGCTCTATGTGCAATGCCTGGATATAACAAATCTATTTTTACGAGGCCTACAAAGACCAAAATATCTCGATGTGTGTGATGTGATGTAATCTCTGCATTTGGGGTGGGAGGTGAGTAGGGAAACAACTACTTTGGAATTAGCACGAATGTACACAATTTCTGAGTAATGATGCACGAGAATGCTCAGGTATTCATAGAATTCAGAGAGGGGGTGTGACCTGCCCATGATTTAGGAAAGGCCTTAGGTGTTTCTGGGAATTGTATGTTCATATGTTCCTACAGCCAATAACTCGCATATAATGATCATCATTATTTGTTGAACAGTTAGGCTAACTGAGTATCTTTTTGGGGGTTACTTGGAGCAGTCGCTGTGTTTTCTTGAGTTGTAAAAAATTATGGTGAAGGTTTTGGCTTAAAGAATTGGAGGTGGAAGTGATTCCCTGCTGCATCTTATTTTGAGAGTGGAAGGGAGAAATTCTGTCCATTCAGTGAGGCGGGATGCAGCTGCGTTGTAGGTTCTGGTGGAATAAGGTGTCTCCTGGAGCTGGAGGGGTGGTGTGGGGTGGACCAAGGAAGCATGTGGCTCACTGGATCCTAGGAGGTGTTGTGACCTCATCGTGCCCACCTGGCATCAGAGAGTAGGCAGTGCACTGCCTCAAAGGAGAAACCCTCTGGGATGAGACAGACATAAAGTAAGAAGAAAAGAGCCAGTCTTTGGCTCAGCAATGCATTTGTGTTGGTTTCTTTTTGTCCCCTTTTAGACAAACCTATTCGTGGTAGAAAGAGAGCAACGTGAACACGATCAGGAGAGGGAGAGGAGCAGTCCTACCACTTTGGCCTTTGTGTCCTCCATGAAGAGATGCTGGTGTTTTCTGAGCATTTGTGAGCTCTTGGCATTTGGGTCATAGTGCATCGGTATTCACAACTTTTCCACACGGGCCCCAGAGGAGGGCTTGCAGCCTCCCCATTGCCAGCTTCTGGGGATGAGAAGAATTGCAGAATTGTATAAATCCCTTATCATCAGCTAGAGGATTGTTAAATGCACACATTAAGGCAAACAAACAAACAAATAAAAAACCAACCAACCTTTTGTCAACAATTGGCTTTATTTTTTAAGAAAATACAGTAGAACGAGCAAGATGTGGTGGCGTGTTCCTGTAGTCCTGGCTGCTTAGGAGGCTGGGGCAGGAGGATCACTTGAGCTCAGGAGTTGGAGGCTGCAGTGAGCTATGATTGTGCCACTGCACTCCAGCCTTGGCAGCAGAGTGGGACCTTGTCTCAAATTACGAAGAGAGAGGGAAGGAGGGTGGGAAGAAGGAAATAGCAGAACAATAGAAGTTTGTAAAAATACCCAAGTTAGAAGAAAGAAAAAAACAGGAGAGATACTCAAGGATATTTGACTCCAGTTCCCCGCTTCTTACATGGGAAGCTGGGTGGGCCCCCCTGTTTCTAGTTCAGCATTCCCTTTGAGACCTCCTCAACTCAAGGGGGACTTCAGAAACAATGGAATGAAACAATGGGCCCTACGTTTTCACTCAGAGCTCAAGCTTTATGTTGCCAGGCAAACCTAGAAAGAGTCCCTACTCGGTAACCTACTCACGCTTGGTTTGTTTTAACAGAATATAGAGGGGTCAGTGAACGTGTGTTTTGATTCCAAGGAAATTCCAAGCACCTTAAGAGTTTAGTAAATGTTGATCTGGCGACATTTCACTTTTCCTTTTTAGCAACCAAGAAGTCCGATAATGAAAGAATTTTCTCTTTAATTGACTTAACCCTGCAAGATGTTTGCTCAGAGATTTTGTTTGTTTGTTTTGTATCAATTTAAGGAGTACAAGTACAGTTTTGTTACATGGATCTATTGCGTAGTGGTGAATTCTGAGCTTTTGGTGTAACCATCACCCAAATCATGTACATTGTACCCATTAAGTAATTTCTCCTCCCTCATGCCCTCCCATTCTTCTACCCTTCTAAGCCTCTAACGTGTGTTACTCCATTCTGTATGTTCACATGTACACATTATTTAGCTCCCACTTGTGGGTGAGAACATGTGGTATTTAGCTTTCTGTTTCTGAGTTATTTCACTTAACATAATGGCCTCCACTTCCACCCACCCATGTTGCTGCAAACGACATGACTTCATTCTTTTTTATGGCTGAATAGTGTTCCTCGGTATGCATGTACCACATTATCTTTGTCCAATCTTCTAATGATGGATGTTTAGGTGGATTCCCTATCTTTGCAATTGTGGGTGGTGCGGTGGTAGACATGAGTGCAGGTATCTTTTTGATATAATCATTTCTTTCCTTTGGGTAGACACCCAGTAGTGGGATTGCTGGATAAAATGATAGTTTTTTTTTTTTGTTTGTTTGTTTTTTTTTTTTTTTTGCTCAGAGATTAAGTCTTTTTGGTGTGAGCTTTTATTTACAAGCATTCCATGTCCTGTAAATAATGTGAGCAAGTTTTCATTGCATGATAAATTTGGTTTCACTCAGTCTTGCCTGTATCTTATGTGAAGATAGACATATGACATGAAAACACATGACCTGAGCTCTCTAGTTCCTGTGACCTGGCACGTGTGTGGCCTGCCACAGCACCTCGTATAAGTCTGCCACAGACTTATGTGAGAGTCTCAAGTCATTTCTTCTTTTTTGTTTTTTGAGACAGAGTCTTGCTCTATTGTCCAGGCTGGAGTGCAATGGCAAAATTTCGGCTCACTGCAACCTCTGCCTCTCAGGTTCAAGTGATTCTCCCGTCTCAGCCTCCTGAGTAGCTGGGATTACAGGCACCCGCCACCACGTCTGGCTGGTTTTTGTATTTTTAGTAGAGACGGGGTTTCACCTGGTTGGCCAGGCTGGTCTTGAACTCCTGACTTCGTGATCCGCCCGCCTCGGCCTCCCAAAGTGTTGGGATTACAGACATGAGCCATCGTGCCCAGCCTCAGTTCATTTCTTAAAGAGACAAATTCTAAACACAGTGGCAAGCCATCAGCAGGGCTTTCTTCTCCCCTGCAGAATCGTCTTAGCCTCGGTAGCTCGTTTCAGCTCAGCTGGTGTGCATTAGGTACCTGTGGACAAGGCAGCTGAGCTCTTAGGAGGAAACAGGAAGAAGCCCCCTCTACCTGTGTGTCCTGCCCAGGGCAAGGGATCCTGTGGCAGGGGGCCCATTCTGGAACCACTCATAGTAGATGGGACTTCAGAATGTTCCAGAACAAGGGGAATGCCTGTCTTATGATTTGAAGCATCTCCCCCAGTGGTTCTGTTTGCCTTCCTCATACTCCCCGAAGAACTATGGTCTTATAAAACCACTGCTGCGTCTATCTGAGGCAAAGTTTGATTACAGGAAAGTAATTCAGGAAAGCCCTGTATAAACTCATTTTATATCTCTACTCACAATCTTTTATTTTATCTGTTTATTCATTTTTGTAGAGACAGGGTCTCACTATATTGCCCAGACCTGGTCTCAAACTCCTGGCCTCAAGTGATCCCCCTACTTCAGCCTCCCAAAGTGCTGGGATGACAAGTGTGAGCCACAGCACCCGATCCCCACTCACAGTCTCTCATTTCATGTTCATAGGTGGTCTACAGATAGCAGGAAATCTCTCACCGATGACTTTTCCAACCCTGAAAAGATGCAAACAACCTGATGAAAGAAAGATTCCTGGGTGACAGGAGCTATATTTGTAGGAGCAGGTGCCATTTGGGACAGAGCACAGGGTGTGGGAGCATTCTGAATTAGAGAAGAGAGTGGGCAGCTTCACCCCTCCTGGGCAGCAGATCCATTTTATCTGCTGTGAATTCCTGGCACACCAGAAGTGCCTCTATTTAAATATGTCAGCATAAAAGGCGATGGCTGTTCTTTGAGCACTTAGGAAATGTTTGTTTGGGGAGGACCTGCATTGTTTCAGGTCCGTAATGGCACTGGGCCTGCAGAGACGCATGGAGGCCGCTCTGCCTACACACTCCGCCTCTGTCTGTGTGGGAAGGGGAAGTTGAGGACGTCTGAGCAAAGACCGGTGGTGGATCTGGACCCACAGTGACTCCCATAAGCATCACATGTCTTTCTAACTGCTTGTTATTATTATTATTATTATTATTATTATTTTGAGACAGAGTCTCGCCCTGTTGCTCCCAAGCTGGAGTATAGTGGTGCGATCTTGGCTCACAGCAACCTCTGCCTCCCGAGTTCAAGTGATTCTCCTGCCTCAGCCATCTGAATAGCTGGGATTACAGGCACGCGTCACTGCACCCGGCTAATTTTTATATTTTTGGTAAAGATGGGGTTTCGCCATGTTGGCCAGGCTGGTCTTGAACTTACGACTTCAGATGATCCACCTCCCAAAGTGCTGGGATTACAGGCATGAGCCACCGCGCCTGGCCTCTAACTGCTTGTTGATGTTTCCTAATACATTTCCTACAGTGACCTCAAGCTCAGCATGTCCGCATTCCGGATTCCTCCTCCCCGCCCAGACTGGCTCTGCCTGCTGCGTCCTGCTGGGACACCAGTTGCGCAGTGCCTGAAGCCAGGAACCTGGACCTCCTTCCAGGTCAACCCCGCCTCCCACCCTGACCCGTGCACGCCTGTCCTTGATCATTATATCATATGGCTTCAGCCTCTGAAATGTGACTTGTGTGTCATTACCTCTCCAGAACCCATGACCACTGTCACCTTTTACTTCTGCTGTTGTAATAGGTCCTTACCTGGCCTTCTCACCTGCCTTCCTCCAGTCCATCCTGTGCTATTCGATGGAGTGGGACCTCGGGTTGAGAACACGGCTCCAGGACAGCCATGAGAAGGGTGCAGAAGGCAGTCAGCCCGCGGCTGGATTAGCACCCGCTGGGGATCATTCTCCCCTCTTTCCCGCTTGACCCATTCCCCCAGTCACACACCTCCCTTAGTACAACTCTTTGCTTCCCTTGCTTCTTCTCCAGGATAAGGAACAAGCTCCTTAACATCACATCTCCAACCAGTCATGAAGGGGCCTGAAGTGATCTTTGCTGTTTCATCTTTCCCCCATCTCCAGCCCTGGAACACACCTGTCACACTCTGGCTGTGACTTATTACATCTTACCATTCCTTAGAAACGCTGTGTACCCAGAGGTCTCTGGGAGTTTGCAGCACCTGCCTAAGCTGAGGAAGCCCTTATCTACCTGAAAAATGCATGCCTGCTTCATAGCCAGCCACCGTGCCAGTGGCCATATCCCTAGGCAGGGCTGGCCTGTGCCTTCTCTGGACTCCGATAGTAGTTAAGTTCCTCTGTCATACTGGGATCGCTCCTGTCACCCCCCATCATAAATACTTATCTGTCTGCATCTCAGACAGAAGTGAGCCTCTGGAGGCCTGGGACCCGTTCTTATGTATCTCTGTAATTCTTAGCACCCAACCAAGCCTGTGCCTGGTACAGAATCATCGTTCATTGTGAACGAATGTCATAGAACACAGGCAATGCAGGGAGATGGGGGTTGCGCAAACAATTCAGGTACAAATTCCAAGGATGGTGGAAGTTGGGAATAGGGAGTGGTACAAGTGCCAGCGTCTTTGAAGCTGACAGGCGTTAATAAGGAATCAGATAAACAGGGAAAAAATACAGTGAATCTGACTTCTTAGCAGAAGTGTTTGGCCGTGTTGGCCCTTGGGAAGCTGAACTTTTGCCTCACCCGAGACGCCATCAGGGTGCTTGGCTTCTCTGGAGAACTTTCCAGAAGTACTTACTTGATGCTATTCAGAGTCTCAGAAACTTGAGGGCCACTTTTAATTATCTCCAATGGACTCATTCCCAAGAATAGTATTAATTTACCACCTGCAAGTGATATTTTGAGCATTTCTAGGGAGTTGCTTCAAATGTTTCAGGTTCCAGTTGACTTTGGAATGTATATCCATCATCTGTCATGTGTCTAAGGTATATGATTCCCTGTAGGTGCCAGGAGCTCCCAAAATAGAAGGAAGGAGTGACTACTTGGGTAGTATGAAGCATCTTTAAACTTAGTTGACCAAAGCACCCTTTTCCTGGAGACTAGTGTGCCATGGAACCTCACTTTGGGAAATGCAGATCCAATGCAATCCTTTTTTTTCTTTTTTTTTTTTGAGATGGAGTCTCACTCTGTCGCCCAGGCTGGAGTGCAATGGCGCAATCTCAACTCACTGCAACCTCTGCCTCCTGGGTTCAAGTGATTCTCCTGCATCAGCCTCCTGAGTAGCTGGGACTACAGGCACCTGCCACCACTCCTGGTTAATTTTTTGTATCTTTAGTAGAGACGGGGTTTCACCATGTTATACAGGATGGTCTCGATCTCCTGACCTTGTATCTGCCTGCCTCGGCCTCCCAAAGTGCTGGGATTAGAGGCATGAGCCACCGTGCCGGGTACCAGTGCAGTACTTTTATTTTACAGAGAAAATAACAGGCCTGGCTCCATGAAGGCCATGAGGCTAGGAAGGTCTGGCTCCTAGGTCAGGGCACCTCCCTGTGAACCATATGGCTTCTAATATATAGTGTGATGGTGGATAGAAACCATTCAAGTGTGTGTGTGTGTGTGTGTGTGTGTGTGTATGTGTGTCAAAGAGAGAGACAGACACACATATATACACCCCTTGGCCAGAACTTCACTACTGTGGCAGATAGTATTTGCATCCGTGCCATCTTCCAAAAGCATTTAGCCCTGGCTGCCCACCCCTGCCCAGCACCTGGTGATTCCAGGCCACTCAGGGGCCCACTCTGACCCTCGGTGGCTCTTCGCCACCCTCTTCTCTGTGATCCAAGCAGAACTTCTGCAGTACAGTTTGTGCCCACTCACTTCAGAGAGATGATACAAAACACTTCTCAGGAGTGAGCAGGTGACAGTTGGGGAGGAAGGAGGGGAGCCCTGGGGGCTGCGGTGCCACTGGCAGCCCCAGAAAACACTGCCGCATTGCCCAGCTCTGCCTCAGCCCTGGGCTGTCCTTGGACAGGGCCATGGGATGCCACTTCCCTCTCTCTCCCTTTGGCAGAGAGCCCTCGGAAACAGGAGTTATTGAGAAACCAAAAGTAAACAGCTCAGCCTCTCCCCGGGGCCTGTGGAGCCTGTTGCCCCGGATGGATGGGGTTAGTGCCAGCAGCTGCTCAGATGATCTGTGGGGCATGTTCTGGGGTGGAGGGGGCTGGGAGCCACGGGGCAGAATTTGGCCGTGAGAGAAGCATTGCAAAGGTCATCGTAGGCCTGACTTCTAGGGCACATCGTCAGATCGAGGTCGGAGAAAAGGCAAAACTGCAAGCCCCTTCCTCATGCTTGCTTCACAGCCACGCCGCTTGGAGTTGAAAGCAGCCAGAATAACCGTTTCCTTTGAGTTAACAACGCAGGTGCCGTCATCCTCCTGTGAGCCGCGGCTGCTCAGGGACCACAGGGGAGGGAGCGCGGGGCCTCTGAATCGGGCATCACTTTCTGCTCTGCCCCATGGGCCCCTCACACACAGCACCTACTAGGGACAGACAGTTCAGGAGTCAGAGACAGGGATGCCAGGCGACCCCGGCACAGAGTCGGTCACGCACGTTTCCTCCACTGTCCTGACCTGCCTACTTCCGCCTAACCCATTTGGCTGAGCTGGTACTGATGTTCTTAAGATGGCAAAAATCAGTCGATGGGGCTTGGGCTCTGAGATCTGCCTGATAGTTGTAGGAACCACGGACGGCCCTCCCTGGGCAGGGCTCAGAATGGATGGCTGGATTTTAACTCGTGGTTTCCTGATGGTTTGGGAAGGACATTTGAAACATCCTCCTCTGTGGAGTCTCCCTTTGCCCCATGCCTAGAACCAGGGGTTGCACGTGCTCATTTCTCTCCTGCCGTATGTATAATCAGGGCTCTCATGCGTTGATCCCTGTGGCGTCTCGGGCACCACGCCCAACTCTGAAGTCTGTATGTGCCCTTTAATCACTCGGAGATTGCTGGGGATTGGATATTATCATTCGCAAAGTGTAGATGAGAAACCTGAGGCTTGTCTTGCCTGTGTTCTCCAGCAAGGAAGTGACAGATAATTTTTTTTTTCTTTTTTTTGGAGATGGAGTCTCGCTCTGTCACCGGGCTGGAGTGCCGTGGCGCAGTCTCAGCTCACTGCAACCTCCGCCTCCTGGGTTCAAGTGATTCTCCTGCCTCAGCCTCCCTAGTAGCTGGGAATACAGGCGTCCACCACCATACCCCGCTAATTTTTGTATTTTTAGTAGAGACGGGGTTTCACCATGTTGGCCAGGATGGTCTCAATCTCTTGACCTCGTGATCCACCCACCTCGGCCTCCCAAAGTGCTGGGATTATAGCATGAGCCACCGCGCCTGGCCCAGAAGTAACAGATAATTTAAGCCCAGTTCCATCTCTCTCGTCCATACGTGCAGCCACCTGCCAGTGGAGTGAATGCCCATTTATGCTTCTTTCCCTTCCGGCCTCCCTCCCTTTCTTCTTTCCTGCCTTTCCAACTGGGCTTTAAAGCCAAGTAGAAATTTATCATCTGCATGTCTCATTCTGTGCATTAGTGAGGCTAATCCAGGGTTTGCTGTATGAGAACCTCCTAGTAAAGTATCTGAAAGCATCGCTGTAAAGGATAAATTTGTCATGAGAGGTGTTGTGGGTTCTAGGGAGAGACATTCAGAAAACCACCTAGGCCGTTTAGTGAGGTGTTCATTTTCCAATAACATCTTCCTGCACTGTTCGCATCCCTGAGCGGGTCCCGTGTCTGTCTGCTGAAGAGGCAGAAGCATAAACCTTCCAGGAGTTCCTGCACCCTTTAATTGCCCTGAGGATCTAAAACAAGTAACAACTTTGAAGATGGTTCAAATGTATCCTGGAACTTTCCTACCCAGATGCGAAGATGCTTTTGATTTTAGAACTAATAGGGCACCTGGTGCAGTGGATCACACTTGTAATCCCAGCACTCTGGGAGGCCGCAGTGGGAGGATCACTTGAGATTAGGAGTTCCAGACCAGCCTAAGCAACATGGTAAAACCTTATCTCTACAAGACGTACAAAATTTAGCCAAGTGTGGTGGCAAGCACCTGTAGTCCCAGATACTTGGGAGGCTGAGGCAGGAGGAGCACTTGAGCCTGGGAGGGGGAGGCTGCAGTGAGCTGTGATCACATTACTGCGCTCCAGCCTAGGTGACAGAGGGAGACCTGTCTCTTTAATAATAAATAAGTAAAGAAAGAAAGACAGACAGAAAGAAAAGAAAACAGGAGCTCAAATCCAGAGGGTACTTACTATTTTTATATTTTTGGGAAAGTGAGATTTAATAAAAACAGATTCATCAAAGAAAATGTACAGACATGAAGGGAACTATTAACATATTTACATGGTTTAGGCCAGGCATGGTGGCTCGCGCCTGTAATCCCAGCACTTTGGGAGGCCAAGGTGGGTGGATCACTTGAGGTCATGAGTTTGAGACCAGCCTGGCCAACATGGCGGAACCCCATCTCTATTAAAAATACAAAAATTAGCAGGCATGGTAGCGCACACCTGTAATCTCTGCTACTCGGTAGGCTGAGGCAAGAGAATCACTTGAACCTGGGAGGCGGAGGTTACAGTGAGCCGAGATTGTGCCATTATAATCCAGCCTGGGCAACAAGAGTGAAACTCTGTCTCAAAAAAAGAACAAACATATTTATGTGGTTTAAAGTGTTTAGCTATGTGTGGAGAGATTTCAGACTGTCAGCTTTTAAGTAACAGCTTTTCTTCTTCCATGATGCATTAATATTTGTCACTCAGGCACTGGCAGGAGGGAACCAGAGGCTGTGTTCTACAACAAATGGCATCTGCAAAGAGCCACCACTACAGATGAGCAAGATGTTTAAAGTCAACTGGAATTAGGAACTATCTTATTTCTTCACTGAATATGATAAACAAGAACTTGTATTGAATCTGCAGAATATCAAGTTTTATAAAATCCCGCGTCTCTTCTATCTTTGCTTTTTACTTCAAACATGTTAGATTGAGTTCTGGAGATACACAAACTAGAAAGGGCATTGTAGAAAATGGTTAAGTATGTTGGCCCTTCGGCATTCATGTTGGTCTGTGTAAACGTGGGCAAGTTATTTCAGCCCTACCAGTGTCGGGAGTCTTGTGGGAGAAATCACAGGAGTGGTGCAGGAGTAAATAGAATAATCTATTGAAAGCTCTTGGAATGGTGCCGGGCAGATGATGCATGCCAGTAGCAGCTGTTTGTCACTATTGTTTTGCTTATTGTTGCTGTAATTCCAACTTCTTGCCTTCCAGGTTCTGGTCTTCCTGCCAAGGGGCCATGCATGTGCATAGACACTCAACTGTGATGGAGATAAAGGGTACTGTAAAAACGGGCATTACCCAGACCGTGTGGGTCAGGGAGGGCTTCCTGGAGGAAGTCATGACCCAGCCTTGTCTTAAAGGACACATTCAGTGACCAAAGAGAGCTGTGAGGAACACGAACATTTCAGGGCCTGTTGGGGGAAGGGGACTGTGTAGAGCATCGCTCCCCAATCTTTTGGGCACCAGGACCAGTTTTGTGGATGACAGTTTTTCCATGGAGACGGGGTGGGGGAAATGGTTTCGAGATGATTCCAGCACATTATATTTATTGTGCACTTTATTTCTATTATTATTACATTGGAATACATAATAAAATAATTCTACCACTTATCATAATGTAGAGCCAGTGGCAGCCCTGAGCTTGTTTTCCTGCAACTGGACAGTCCCATCTGGGGATGATGGGAGACAGTGACAGATCATCAGGCGTTAGATTCTCAAAAGGAGCGTGGAACCCAGATCCCTCGCATGCGCAGTTCACAATAGGGTTCATACTCCCATGAGAATCTAATGCCACCACTGATCTGACAGGAGGTGGAGCTCAGGCGGTGATGCGGGTGATGGGGAGCGGCTATAAATACAGATGAGGCTTTGCTCACTTGCTGCCCCCCTCTTGCTGTGCAGCCTGGTTTCTAACAGGCCACAGACTGGTACCAGTGCATGGCCTGCAGGCTGAGGACCCCTGAGAACATGTGTTTAGAAATGAAGAAAAGTCAGCAGAGACCCCTAAAAGCCAGGCAGGAGAGGAGGCTCAAGAGGGAGGGAAAGATCAGCTCTCAAACATCCTGGAGAGTTGAAGAAAAATAGAGACTAAAAATTGTCCCTTGGATTTAGTGACAGTGAAGTCATTTGTGCTTCCATAAGGATCATTTCAATCAAGTGGTAGAGAAACAGCCCAGTAGTGTGCTGGTAAACGTTTAACAACGGGCTCTTGGGGCAGTGTTGGGAGGAAGAAGAGGTCCTGATCTGTAGCTTTTACCCATTTCCATGGTGTAAAGACTTTCTATGTGACTAATTTAAAGCCACCAACTGAAGTCATTGAATCCAGATTAGGAAGGGATGTTCATAGACCATGTGGTTCCAGCTGTCTCCAGAGCATGCCTGAAACAGCCTGATCTCCGGAGTCATGGTGATGGCCAGGTGACAAGGCAGAGATGGGCAGGTAGCTTGATGTTTCCAGTTTGTAAGCTTTCTGTATCATTCATTTAAACAGTGTGGTAATATATCTGCTGTCCTCTGCTGCATCTCAACGCCGAGATTTGTCCCTCCCCTCCTTTCTCTGGGCACATTCTGATACTATGGTGCTGTCTCCTCCCCCTTCTCAGCAGATGTATCTGCTTCCATCTGCCTCTCAGAAAAACCCACCATGTTACCGTGAAGAAGCTTACATCCACTTTGCCCAGCAGTAAGTGTATAATGGGATGTCAAGAACAGAACAGAAGGGTTTGAGCATAGAGCCTTGTGGGGTTTATCACTACCACAGTTCAAGGCAGAAGATGTCCTCACCAACTGAGACAAGTGCTCAGGTCCACTTGTCAGGGACGGTCTTCACAGTGGAAGGTGACTTTTCATCTCTGGGCCACCCAGATGTGTGATCTGACTTTAGGCTCAAAAAGCAACCTTTTGGTCTTAATCTGGCCTCTCAAGTAGACTTCCCTTACTTGAATGAAAATGCATATGCTTTCCAGCCTAACCTGACTTTCCCTGTCTTATTGTTGGTGAAAGGTTTCTATTCAAGATTATGTATGCATTGACTTCCTGGCTAATACATCAGTGTTCTGTGAGTTTAGTTAACAGGATTGGAGACCCGATAACCCCTTAAGGGAACAGGTAATAGCAGCAAACACTTACATAGCCCTCAGTATATACTAGGCACTCTTAGGAGTACTTTATGTATTCAACCAAGTAACAAACCCTTGAGCTGTCTGTTTTATTGATGAAGAAACTGAGGCACAGAGATATTTAGTGCTTTGTCCAAGGTCACATAAGAGAGTGTCAGAACCAGGTTCTGAATGTAGGCCTTTGGGGTTCTGCAGTCTGTTTCCTAATCACCACCTTCTGCTGGTTCCTGCCTGGTGAGTCCCAGAGCTGAGAATGAGACCCTGGACCTGGGGACCCCATCAAAGTGCAGGCAACCCGGAAGACTCCACCTCCACTAAACGCAGGCCCTGTGCCCATCCCTGGAAGGAAGGGACGCAACAGAGGCCATCCTAGAGCCTCGAAGTGCCCCCTTCCGTGCTGACATTCTGACGTTCCCGCTCCTGCAGCTCCTCTACCCTCGCCTGGTTTCTTTGGTTTCTGGGGACGAATCCAGACATTTTCCAGCTCCAGGTCTGCTTCCAGGTGAGGAAGCTCCGCCTGGGCCTGAGAAGACATCTCTGGTTGGGAGGAGCTCTGCTGTGTGGTACCTGCCTGCCCACTGAATGAAACCTGTCCTCTCTGTACCCCCAGTTCCCTGAATGTTTCAGAATGCCTTTTTTTTTTTTTTTTTTTTTGAGACAGAGTCTTACTCTGTCTCCCAGGCTGGAGTGCAGTGGCGCAATCTCGGCTCACTGCAACCTCCCCCTCCCGGGTTCAAGCAATTCTCCTGCCTCAGCCTCCCGAGTAGCTGAGATTACAGACACGTGCCACCACGCCCAGCTAATTTTTTGTATTTTTAGTAGAGATAGGGTTTCACCGTGTTGGCCAGGCTGGTCTGGAACTCCTGACCTCAGGCGATCTACCCGCCTCGGCCTCCCAAAGTGCTGGGATTACAGGCGTGAGCCACCGCGCCCAGCCCAGAATGTCATTCGAGTTTTCTTTTTGCCCCAGGTTATCCTGCTAATGCCTTATTTCTCCACTTCATGAAGCATTTCATTTCTGAGGCCAGTCCATTAAGGGGCTAATAAAAAGGGAACTTGCTGGACACGGTAGATAAACTAAAAAGCACTCCCTCTTAGGATGCTCCTCCCTGGCTCTCCAGTGCTCTGTGAGAAGAGAAATGAGACATTTGCTTTCTGTCCTCTCTTTCTCTGGGACCTTAAGGGAAAGCTGCTGTGGGTTGCTTCATGGAGCTTCCACTTCCAAAACTCCAGCCTGGAACAAAGGTCTACAAGGCACCTTCAAGGGTTGTAGAGAGACTTCGTGGAAGCACAAAAATAACTTCGGAGGGAGAGGGAAGGTTTCATATTCTCAGGCATGTTTACACATCTGTTGTCCCAAATTGGGCTTTAATTAATTAATTACTTTTTTTTTTTTTTTTTTTTGAGACAGGGTCCCTATCTCTTGCCCAGGCTGGAGTGCAGTGGCACGATCATAACTCACTGCATCCTCAAACTCCTGGGCTTAAGAAATCTTCCTGCCTCAGCCTCCCAAGTAGTGGGGATTAAGGCATGAACCACCATGCCTGGTGGCCTCAGGTTGGGTTTTAATACTGTGGGTTTAATGGTGTCCTGGATGTACCAGGAAGTTGACAGGATCAGAGCAAGAGTCAGTTGGATTTTCCCCGGTTGTTCCTAGTAGAGGAAGAAGACCTTTGCAAAGAGAGAAAGTGGGTCCTGGATGGGCGTGGAGGTCGCATATTCCTCTCTGGGTGCAGCTTGGACAGGTCAGTCTTCTTCTTTGAGCAGGTGTGTCATCATCTATATAATGAACAGCTGGAACCATATGTTTTTCAAAACACCTAGAGACCTGAAAGTTCCATGATTTTGGTGACAGCATAAAATTGTAATACCTTTTGTTGTTAGTATTGTTGCATTTTTTAAAATCCCTCAAATTGATGTAGTCTTGGCACGTGGTCTTGTAAAGCAAATACATGATAGGGATCCATTTTTGGACAGTGTATCTTTAAGGAATATGATTGTTAATAGAATGAGTGTCCGCATCTCTTTCTCAAGACCTGACTAGATGGTGTTTGGGGTGGTGCCTCTGTCCCTCGATCATTGGCAGGAATAAAGGTAGTTGAAGCCAAAGATTGAACCTTCACTTTTCCCTACAGTTGAGGGCTAATTAACTCCAGTCTTGTCCAAGAACTCAATTTATAGCATCCTTAAGCTCTTCTTCTAGCAATCTCAAGGCTCCAGGAAACTTTTAAAAAAAGAAAGCTCTTTTCCACAAACAGAAGTTTAGGAATGCATATCCAGAATTTCCACCTTCTAAATTGGCACCTAAGCGTGATAGATGGCTCCCTATAACGGGCAGCTCTTGCTCACTGCAGCAGCACGCTAGTGGTAATATCACAGCCTGTGGCATTACACGAGACTGTGACAAGCCATTAAGAAAAAAAATAGGCCAGTGTTATTGAAAAGCCTGATTGCATTTCTGTCATCTAAAGTATGTGAAGCAGCCTTGTAAACTACAAACTTTTTCTGTTTTAGAACTTTGGAACCCATTTCAACACTTTGTCCATACAGTGGTTGAGAGTCGGTATCTACCAATTTGCTTGCCGATATCTACCAATTTGCAACCTCCACCTCCGGGGGTGCAGGTGATTCTCCTGCCTCAGCCTTCTGAGTAGCTGGGATTACAGGCGTCTGACACCATGCCTGGCTCATTTTTTGTATTTTTAGTAGAGACGGGGTTTCACTATGTTGGCCAGGCTGGTCTCGCACTCCTGACCTCACGATCCACCTGCCTTGGCCTCCTAAAGGTCTGGGATTACAGGCATGAGCCGCCGCACCCGGCCTAGGATTACATTTCCTTTTGTAGGGGCAGAAACATCACAGAGTTCTGGGTACGGTTGAGTTGTGTGTTTTTTCTTCAAGGTAAGCAATAATATCCCGATTGTACAGGGAAGAAAACTGAGAGGTAGAGAAGAGAAAGTGACTTGGCCTGTAAGTGCGGGAGTCTGACGGCAGAGGCTGTGTAATAATACCATGTTCTGGTCATCACCCCCATCACACAATCCTTATTAACTTACAGCTGCCCCATACTCTGCTTTTCTCCTTAATTATTATTTTTTAACCCAAGACAGGTAGGATAGGGTGATGTTAAAAGAGCCAGACTGCCTTGATTCTCACACCAGATTTTCTGCTTTGTAGCTCCTGTCACCTAGAGCACTGGACCTCTCTGAGTCTCGGTTTCCTTATCTCCAAAATGGGCATGGCAACAGGAGTTCCCTCCTTGAGTTGTGAGGATTGAATTAATAAATACTTGGAAGCCCTTCACACACACACTACCGTGTAGCAAGTGTTCACTTGGTGTTGTCATTATGCCCTAGCTTTGTTGTTGTTGTGTGCACATGTAATCCAGATTGCTGACAAAAATAGGCAACTGTGGATTGACACTATATACACATTTAAGCAAATGCAACCATATGCATCTCTCTTATGAAGTTAAAATAGAGTACGGTTATATTTTGCATGTGTTCCGCATATTGTAATAGCCATAGTTTTATATATTACAAAGTGCTAAATACGTATTCACTTTATAGGGTTGAATACACAGAAATATGTGCTCCATACTTGAATGGGCAATTGAAATAATTTTCGAGGGAAATTTTGATGACTGTGTAATAACTTTTGCCTTTCTTGCTGACTTTATATTCTAGCTTCTTTTTAAATTTTGACTAAGTCCGGGTTGAGAGGCCTTGATAAGCCCTTGGAAACCTCCACCCCACCTACTCCAGGATATCTGGTTACTAGGGTGCACCCTCACCCTCCACAAGGCTTATTCACCATGTGCTCTAGGGCTACCAGCTGTTGTTATACTGGGAATCGGATGTGTCTCATATCCTCTGATTCTTTGAGTACCAGCCATACCAGCTATTGTGTTAGAAACTGCCGACATGGAGTAATCAGCCCCAAGTCGCCATCCTTAGAAGTGTGTGTTCAAATTATAACCCAGTGTGGCCCAGCAAGCACATTACCAGCTAATCAACTCAGCAGGTGCCTGGACCTGGGGCTTCTCAGTGAAGATAACGTTGGAGATGGGTTTACAGGGTTGGAAGGGGCTGGGAGCTGGAGGACTGATAATCCATTCTGAGGAGGAATGGCAGGCAGAACGCCTGAGAGCCCCAAAGGGTTCCTGAGCAGGGAGTCTCTGGGACCGGAGGATGGGCGAGAGGAGGCAGAATTGGTGGAGTTAGGTGAGGGGGCCTCCTGGGCCACCCCTAGGAAGGAAGACCCAGGTCCCTCAGGTGATTGGGAGCCATTGGTAGCTTTCAGCAAGAGGAATTCACTATTTTTGACCCTCGATTAAGATTTGTTGCATTTTATATTCCATTTCCATCTAAATAAGAAAATATATTGGAGTAATTAATTTACTCAAGTATAGGTTCTGGAAGGAAGTTGTTCAAATTCTTTGCCCTTCTTTGGAAATGGAACTTAGGGAGTCTGAGTGTGTGAGTGTGTGCATGTGTGTGTGTAGGTGTGAGTGTGTGCACGTGTGTAGGTGTGTGCATGTGTACATGTATAGTTATGTGTGTGTATATCGGTGTGTGTGCATGTGTACATGTGTAGTTATGTGTGTATATCGTGTGTGTGCGTGTGTGTAGGTGTGTATTGTGTTTGCAAGTATGTATACGTATGTGTAGTGTGAGTGCACGTGTTTGTACAGGTATGTGTTTATTTGAAAGTGTATTTGTGTATAGGTGTGTGTGGTTTGTAGGTGTCTATAGATGTGTAGGTGTGAGTGTGCATGTGTGTGGGGGTGTGTATAGTTGTGTGCGTAGGTGTGTGTAAGTGCATGTGTGTAGTGTGTAGGTATGTGTTGTGTGCGTGTGTATAGGTATATGTGTGCGTTCGTGTGTGTATAGGTGTAGGTGTGTATGCATGTATGTGTATAAGTGTATGCATAAGTGAGAGCATGTGCTGGTGTGTGTATAGGTGTGTGTATGTGTGTTTGCAAGTGTGTTGGTGTGCGCATAGGTGTGTATGTGTGCATGTGTGTTGTGTCTGTATAGGTGTGTTTGTGGGTGTGCATGTGTGTTGCTGTGTGTGTGGGTGTGTGAGTGCACGTGTTGGTTTATGATAGGCGTGTTTGTGCGTGTATTGGTGTGTATAGGTGTGAGCGTGTGTGTATGTGGGTGTGTATATGTAGGTGTGTGTATAAATGTACGTGTGTGAATGTATATGTGTGTAGTTTCATATGAGTGTGCACATGTGTGTTTAAAATATGGCTAACGGTAAGGAAATAGGAAGAAATAAAATTAGTTTTCCAAGTATGGGCAGGCTTGAATATTTTAGTCTTATATAATGTTTCAAAATTGATTGCATAACAAAGCGGGTTATCTTGGACAGTAATAGGAGTAGCTAACATTTATCGATGCTACAGCGAGACAGACTGTTCTAAACCCTTTACATGAACTAGCGCATTAAATCCTCGAATCAACCTCTTAAGTAGCTACTGTTTTTACCCACCCTTTACGGAAAAATCCAAAGGACAGAGAGGTCAAGTATCTTTTTGTTTGTTTGTTTTTTGTTGTTGTTGTTGTTGTTGTTTTTGAGACGGAGTCTCGCTCTGTCTCCCAGGCTGGGGTGCAGTGGTGTGATCTCGGCTCACTGCAAGCTCCGCCTCCCGGGTTCACGCCATTCTCCTGCCTCAGCCTCCCGAGTAGCTGGGACTACAGGCGCCCGCCACTAAGCCCGGCTAATTTTTTCTATTTGTAGTAGACACGGGGTTTCACCTTGTTAGCCAGGATGGTCTCGATCTCCTGACCTCGTGATCCGCCCGCCTCGGCCTCCCAAAGTGCTGAGATGACAGGCCTGAGCCACCGCGCCTGGCCGAGGTCAAGTATCTTCTCACCAGCTAGAGTAGAGGAGGCAGGGCGGGAACCGAGGTGGTCTCTGTCTTGAGTCCATACATTATAACTGTTGAATTACCGGACACCCACTTCAGTGGCATTTATTCGGTGAAGTGTTTGGGGTGTAGGGAAGGGGTGGTGGTGACTGGAAGTGTAGCTTGGGGATCGCCTTTTTAATATCCCTGTCTAGTCACAAAAATAAGGCATGTTCTAATCAACTAAGCACTTGACCATGAACTTCTCGTAAGCAAGGTGAGTGGTAGATTTTTTTTCCTCAAGGATGCAAGCAGCTGATAGAATTGGGAAGAAAGTTATTAGTTGCAAAAACATTTAAGCTTTGCAGTAAGATTACTAGTGCACCAAAGGAATCGTGACTGTTAAGCCCTCTAGCTGATTAACTGGTGCTGTTATTTTATTTTAAAATGTTGTAATTTTTTCACAACAAGAAAAGTAATGTGTATTCCTAGAAGACAAATGAGGAAAAATACATAAGCAAAAAGAGGAAGAACACTCATAACTCCACTAGCCAGAAATTCCCCGTGTTAACTCTGGCGTCACTTACGGTAAATATCCCCATTCATCTCTTCTTGCTCCCAGAATAAATTAGCAGCAGCTTTTCCTCAGAGCAGGGGAACAAGCCACTTGTGTGGTAGGCAGATATGCAGGCTATGATGGCCAGAAAATAAGCGCACCCCAGGGCGAGGCAGTTTGTATTTTCTGCTTTCGGGGGAGCCGTTTCTTCTCTTTGAGGAGAGAAGTAATTTTCTGTCCCACCTGCATCTGTTTTCTGGCCTTGGGACCAAATGTCAACATCCCTAGTGGTGAGCACGCCCTTCCTTCGGTTTTTCTAGTTGCTGAGATACCTGCCGGGTTAGTTTTTTCTCCTCCAGATTGCATGTCTCTGATTCACCAGTGATAAAAATATTGAACAGTCACAAAAGACATAAATGAGGTGGGGAGAAAAAGCATGTCACTGAAATGCTGGTTTCCACTGGTGAGCTCCTTGAAATCCTGATAGAACTTTTTCCAAATGAAACGTGAAGTGGTATGCTCTTCAGACCATTAATTTTATTAAATAGCCAAACAATTGGATTACAGCCGTTTATCTGTACTGATTTTGCATTGTCATTTCAGAATTATCTCTTTAATTGCTACCTCCTCAGTAAGGTTCAGGGTAGAATGCTGTCACTATTTACGTAATCATTTACATATTTTGTATTAATTCACATTTGTTTTGGATCTAGTATTGAGAGGTGACTTAATTAGATCCAGTGGTTCATGATTAGCAGCCGATTCAGGGCTCTGTGTCTCTCTCTCCTCTTCAACATTTCCTCATTTCCTATTCCTGCCTCCATAGATATCCACTATAATGGACTTGCTAAATCTCTTTGAATACACAGGCATCCTCCTAATTTTTTTTTTCATTTTGTGGTGTGCATGTGTGTGTGAATGTTTGTATTTTTAATTTACATGAATGGCATTCTTCAATAGATTTCATTCTGTTGCTTCGCACTTTCAATGCATGCTCTTTCTAACATCTGTCCGTGCTACTTACTCTGTTTTCTCTAGTTCATTGTTTATAGCTGCTTTTACCCCATTTTATCTTCATCTCCCTGGTGATGGATGACTGAACCGTCTTGCACTTGTGTGTCCATAAAGAGTATCATGGATGAAAACCCTTGTTCATGCCCCTTCAAAGACTCGTGGGGGGATTTTTTGGGAGCCTCATATTCAGAAGAAAGCATACAGTTACTTTTCATTTAAGTATCAGGTAATACTTAATTTCATTAAGCATTGCCAGAGTATTTTATTTTTTACTAAGTATTAATTGAGTACTTTCTATTTTCATCACATTAGGCTTGGTATTTAGAGGGATTCATGGGAAAAAAAAAGAGACTCTTCTCAAGAAGTTTAAACTTTGCGTAGGAAGAAGGCAACAAAAAGAGAATATATGGGTAGTAGTAATAATAGTTGCAGTTTATTTGTCATATACCAATCAGTGACATATATCTTCTTAATACGCATAACCCTGTGAAGGTATATTATTAATTCTGTTTTACTGTTAAAGAAAAGGCAGTTCAGAGTGGCTAAGTAAATTGCCTAAGCATGCACAGCAAAGATGGTGGCAGTGCTGAGGTTTAAACCCAGTTTTCTCTTACTCCAAAGTCTCTCTCTCTCAGTGCTATGCAGTACTACTACCTGAGATGTCTGTTTTTAAAGAAGCCATTGAATCTTTGCATGTAGCAGGAGCTCAATAAATGCTTTTGAATTACTGATTGAAATAATCATGGTAAATGCATTTGAGTGCTGTCTGCTAAGTAGTTTAAGTACTTTATGTCTAGTAAACTGTTCCAATTTCACAGTAATCCCATAAAGCTGGCATTACTGTTATCCCTGTTTTTCTCCTGAGGAAACTAAGGCATAGACAGGGTGAATAATGACCAAATTCACATAGAGCTGGATTTTTTTTTTTTGAGACGGGGTCTTGCTCTGTTGCCCAGGCTGGAGTGCAGTGGTACAATCATGGCTTACTACAGCCTCAGCCTGATGGTCTCAAGTAATTCTTCTGCCTCAGCCCGAGTAGCTGGGACTGCAAATGTACACCACCGTGCCTGGCTAATTTTAGAATTTTTGGTAGAGGAAGGGTTTTACTGTGTTGCCTAGACTGGTCTTGAATTGCTGGCCTCAAGTGATCCTCCTGCTTCAGCCTCCCAAAGTGTTGGGATTATAGGTGTATGCTACCATCCCCTACTTGGATTTTTAAAATTATTAAAAATTACATTTTAATTTTAACATTTTAATTTCAAGATAGTTGTAGATTCACATACAATTATAAGAAATAATATACAGTGAGATCTCATGTACCCTTTACCAAGTTTCCCCAAATGGTAACATCTTACAAAACTGTAGTACAGTATTACAACCAGGATATTGACATTGATACAAGCAGGATACAAAAGCTTCTGGAATTCCTCATGGTGCTCTTTTGTAGCAAACCCACTTCCCTCCTGCATGATCTCACCCCCTGCCTAACCTCAGGTAACCTGTAGTCTCTTCCCCATTTCTATGGTTTTGTCATTTCAAGAATGTTATATAAATTGAATCTTACAATATGTAACCTTTTGGGATCTTCTTTTTCACTCAACTTTCACTGGAGATTTATCGAAGTTGTTGTATGTATCAGTAGTTGTTCTATTTGATAACTGAGAAGTATTTCACAGTTTGAGTGTACCACTTTGTTTAACCATTCACCAGTTGAAGGACACCTAGTTTGTGTCCAGTTTTTGACTATTAAAAAATAAAGCTCTGCAGTCCGCAGTCCGGCCTGGGCGACAGAGCGAGACTCCGTCTCAAAAAAAAAAAAAAAAAAAAAAAAAAAAAAAATAAAGCTGCTATAAACGTCCATGTACAGGTTTTTGTGTGAACATAACTTTTTATTTCTCTGGGATAAATGCCAGGAGTTCAATTGCTAGGTTGCATGGTGGTTGCATGTTCCATTTGTAAAGAAACTGTTTGGCACCGTGTAGCTGTGTCACTTTACATTCCCACCAGTAATGTGTGAGTGATCGTTTCTCTGCATCCTCGCCAGGATCTGACGTTGCCGTCATTTTGTGATTTTAGCTATTCTCATAGGTGTGTGGTGGTGTCTTATTGGAATATTAATTTGCATTTCCCTAATGACCAATAATGTTGTACATCTTTCTATGGGCCTACTTGCCATGTGTTTATCTTCTTTGGTGAAATGTCGCTTCATGTCTTTTGCTCATGTTCTATCTGGGTTGTTCACTTTTTTTGTTGTTGAGTTTTGACAGTTCTTTATATAGTCTGAATATTCGTCCCCTGTGGGGTATGTGGTTTGCAAATATTTTCTTCCCCTCTGAGTTTGTCCTTTTGTCCTCTTGATGGGGTCATTCACAGAGCAAAAGTTTCTAATTTTGATGAAGTCCAATTTTTCTTTTTGGAAAAAATACAGGATGCTTTTGGTTTCAGTTGTAAGAACTCTTTGTCTTGCCTTAGATCCTAAAGGTTCTCTCTTATTTTTTCCTGTAAGTTTTATACTTCAACTTCTACGTTAAACTCCATGACCCATTTTGAGTTAATTTTTGTATAAGGGGTGAGATTTATACAAAAGAAAAGGTTTACTTTTATTGTCTGTTACTCCAGGTTTGCCTGTTGCCCCAGTTGTTCCAGCACCATGTGTGTATATAAGAGGCTGTCTTTCTCCACTGAATTGCTTTTGCATCTTTATCAAAACTCATTTGGGCTTAGACATATGGGTTTATTTCTGTGTTCTCTATTCTGTTCCATCAGTCTGTGTGTCTATCCCCCTAACAGTACCACACTGTCTGATTACTGTAGCTATATAATGGGTCGAGTAGTCTTATTCCTCCCACTGTTGTTTTTCAGAGTTGTTTAGCTATATTCTAGTTCCTTTGCCTTTCATATACATTTTAGAATAATCTCACTCATGGCTACAAAAATTTTTTGTTAGGCATTGTGCTAAACCTGTATGTCAGCTTGGTGAGAATTGGCATCTTTACTATGTTGAGTCTTTGAATCCATGAATATAGTATGTCTCTCCACTTATTTAGATCTTTGGCTTCTTTCATCAGCATTATGTGGTTTTCATTATGCAAGTCCTATAAATGTTTTCTTAGATTTATACCTAAGCATTTTCTTTATTTTCAATGATTGTAGATGGCATTTTAAATATTGGTATAAATGTTTGCTTAGATTTATACCTAAGCATTTTCCTTATTTTCAATGATTGTAAATGGCATTTTAAATATTGGTATAAATGTTTGCTTAGATTTATACCTAAGCATTTTCTTTATTTTGAGTGATTGTAAATGGCTTTTTAAATATTGGTGTCCGTATGTTCATTGCTAGCATACAGGACTTCAGTGGACTTTTGCAAATTGTTCTTGTATCCTGCAACCTTGCTGAACTTACTTTTTAGTTCTAGTTGTGTGTGTGTGTATGTGTGTGTGTACATTCCTTGTATTATCTTGTGAAACCCTGGGTGTTAACCTTCTATGTTAGATGGCTTTTGCTGACACTGCTCCAGGAGAAGAAGGGAGTGGGTATTGCCTTGTTACTGCCAGGTGGAGTGAAACCCAGGTTTCCCACTAGGCTTCCATGGTCACCTGCTCGGGGAGCTCCTTCCCACTGTGCAGTGGGAGTAGAATTCTGGCTTCCTCAGTGTCTCCACAGCCACTGCATGTGGCGGGGTTAGGCCTCGTTACTAGCCATTAGGGACAAAAGTCTCAGTTTCCTCTTTGGCGTCTTTGACTCCACCATGGTTGACACCACCAGGCGTGGGGGTCCCCTTGGTACAGCCTTGTGAGGTGGACACCTAGGCCCCTGCTTGGCCTTTGCTGCTGGTGGTGGTGGGCCATATTTTGTTCCTGTAGGATTTGGCTGGAGTTGAGCGGTTGTTGTCTGCAAGTTTGTCTTGCTAGGCTGCCTTCCCCTGGTCACTGGGCTAGAGAGAAAGTAGGCTTTTGTGGGGGGCTGTTTTTGGTCTGAGCCCATTGGTGTTTCTGGATTGTTACCTTTTCCAGCTCTGTATCTTGGATACGGGAGGCAGAAAGTAAACTCAGGGGTCTCAGTGCCAGGTTCTTCTTTGGATCCCAAGATCCCTAATCCCATCTCTCCACCTGGCAGCATCATGTTACATTTGGGATGTGTGTGTACGTGTGTGTGTGTGTGTAATGTCCAGAGTTTTCAGTTATACTTAGGAAGAATAGAGAAACATACTTCTACTCCTTTTTGCAAGTGGAGGCAGACAGCTGGATTTTGAGCCCCATGGTTTAGCACCCAGGTCCTTGTCCTTAATCCATGTGCTCTTGGTCTCCCTGAAAGGAGACAAACGCTGCCCTGGAGCGGCCCGGGAGGCTTTGGTGGCATCAGTCAGACCTAAGCTCGTCAGAAAACTTCCCAGCTTTTGAAAAGCTGGGGAAGAAGGGGAATTTTTCTTCCTGAAATAGCCTGAGTAGAGGGGAGGATGTAGGAGTGAGTAGCGTGTTTGAAAGAACAGGAGAGAACTCGGCCCACAACAGTCAAGGCTTGTGTGGGGAACAAGCACTGTGGTGTAAAGCGCCTTGCTTCAGAGATGAGGAGCCCAAGGTGGGAGTCACTGCCTTCCCTCCCTCCAATCGTCCGTCCCGTCATCTCATCTCTCCCATCTGCCCTTCCCTTCGCCCTTCCCTCCCTCCCTCCCTCCCTCCCTTCCTCCCTTCCTTCCTTCCTCCCTCCCTTCCTCCATCGCTCCCTCCCTTCCTTCTTTCCTTCCTCCCTCCCTTCCTCCCTTCCTTCCTCCCTCCTTTCTTTCCTTCCTCCCTCCCTCCGTCCCTCCGTCCCTCCCTCCTTTCTTTCCTCCCTCCCTCCCTCCCTCCCTTCCTCCCTTCCTTCCTCCCTCCTTTCTTTCCTTCCTCCCTCCCTTCCTTCCTCCCTCCTTTCTTTCCTTCCTCCCTCCCTCCGTCCCTCCCTCCCTCCCTCCTTTCTTTCCTCCCTCCCTCCCTCCCTCCCTCCCTCCCTTCTTTCCCTCCTTCCTCCCTCCCTCCCTTCCTCCCTCCTTTCTTTCCTTCCTCCCTCCCTCCCTTCTTTCCTTCCTTCCTCCCTCCCTCTCTCCCTCCCTCCTTCCTCCCTTCCTTCTTTCCTTTCTCCCTTCCTCCCTCCCTCTCTTCCTTCCTTTTTCCCCCTCAACTTTTTCCACATTTATCGGACCACAAAAACTTTTGTCATGGAATAATAAATAACATTCTGAGGAACAAACTTAGGGAAACCGCATCATGAAACAAATGGTTGCCCTGGAGAATTTGGGCCTTTACCGGTAGCTTAGGCTGAGTGACACACATTTTACATACATGCTCCCTTTTTTTCCCCCCCAAAATAGCATTTTACTTTATTTTGCAAAAGCAATAAATGTTATTTAGAAACCCTTTTAAATTGCAATTAAGGGCCGGGTGTGGTGGCTCACACCTGTAATCCCAGCACCTTGGGAGGCAGAGGCAGGTGGATCACTTGAGGTCAGCAGTTCAAGACCAGCCTGGTCAACATGGTGAAACCCCGTCTCTACTAAAAATACAAAAATTAGCTAGGCATAGTGGCGTGTACCTGTACTCCCAGCTATTCGGGAGGCTGAGGCAGGAGAATTGCTTGAACCCAGGTGGCAGAGGTTGCAGTGAGCTGAGATCTTGCCACTGCACTCCAGTCTGGGTGACAGATTGAGACTCTGTCTCAAAAAGCAAAACAAAACAAAAAACTGCAATTAAGGAAAAGACGAAGAATCACCATAATCCAATGTCTTAGAAAAAAATCATTCTTAGCATTTTGATCTGTATCATGAGTATATCCCCATATGAGAGTGTGTGCGTGTGTGTGTGTGTGTAAATTTTCTTATTCTAGTCTATTTCAGTAAGAACCTGTAATAGATCTACCCTATTAAAATTTTAGATGTGCAATACATTATTGTTGACTACAGTACAATGTTGTAAGGCCGATCTCTAGAACTTATTCATCTCGCGCAACTAAAACTTTATGATGTTGATTAAGTAACTGCCTAATTTCCCTCCCGTCAAGTCCCTGAAAACCACCTCTCCACTCTCGGATTCTGTGAACTGGATTATCTTAGATACCCTGCGTAAGTGGAGTCATGCAGTATTTGTCCTTTTGTGACCGGCCCATTTCACTCAGATGATGTCTTCAAGGTTCATCCATGTTGTCACCCTGCAGAATTTCCTTCTCTTGTAAGGGTAAATAGTAGTCCACGGTTTACCACATTTTCTTTCATTCATCTGCCCTCGGACATTTAGCTGTTACACCTCTTGGCTACTGTGAACCTCCTTCCTTTCCTTTTTTTACGGGGGAGCCTGTCTCATTTAGAGAAATACATTTCATTTTGATCCAGGTGAGGCCAATTCAGCTATAGTGATGTTTGCTTCCCATTTCTCTTGAACCCCTTTAAGCCTCCATTTCTTCATTTTACTCCTTTTACGGTTGTTGTGAAAATTAAATGGCACAGCAGGTAGGGTATCCAGGACCATGCCTACACACAATGGGTGGCCCAGGTTTCCTGGCTGACAGAATCTTCTCATACCTATGCCCCATTTCTTTCTTCCCCCTTCTCCTTCTCTTCCTCCTTCTCCTTCCTCCTCTTTCCTCCTCCTCCTCCTCCTCCTCCTCCTTTCTTCTTCTTCTTTCGAAACAGAGTTACCTGGCTGGGCATGGTGGCTCATGCCTGTAATCCCAGCACTTTGGGAGGCCAAGGCAGGCAGATCACCTGAGGTGAGGAGTTCGAGACCAGCCTGGCCAACATGATAAAACCCCGTCTCTATTAAAAATACAAAATGAACTGGGCGTGGTGGTGCATGCCTGTAATCCCAGCTACTTAGGAGGCTGAGGCAGGAGAATCGCTTGGACCTGGGAGGCGGAGGTTGCAGTGAGTGGAGATCACAGCATTGCACTCCAGCCTGGTGACAAGAGCGAAACTCCATGTACAAAAAAAAAAAAAAAAAAAAGTAAAGAAACAGTTATCCAGGCTGGAGTGCAGTGGCATGATTATCGTAACTCACTGTAACCTTGAACTCTTGGGTTCAGGTGATCCTCCTGCCTCAGCCTCCTGAGTAGCTAGGACTACAGGCATGCACCACCACGCCTGATTGATTTTTATTTTTATTTTTGTAGAGACGGGTATGCTGCCCAGGCTGGTCTCGAACTCCTGGGCTCAAACAATCCTCTCGCCTCCGCCTCCCAAAGTGCTGGAATTACAGGCATGAGCCCCCACGCCCCGCCCCTCTGCCCCATTTCTTACTGTGTAATGGTGTGTGGTTTGCCTCAGCTCTCTGGTTCCAGCCACCCTCAGGGAAATCTGTGCAGGGCTTGCTTTTTTAATGTGTGTATTCAGTCAGTCAGATTATAGTAGACTCCTTACACGTCTTCACTTGAAGTTTTAAAAGATTCGTGAAGATTACATTTGAACGTGTCTAGGATAAATGTCACATTACAGTAAATCTGGAAGTCTAGACTTCTGAGGCAAAAGCCATGCACTTGTATAATATTAGACCTGTAGGATCTGTAGAAAACAGCCAGTTTAATCCCTTGGGTTCGATTTTTCTTGTTTTGTTGATTTTATAGGAACATTAATATATATTCATCATAACAAGTCAGATGACACAAATACATATGTCAAAAGTTATATCTACTGCACCATCTCTGTAATCTTTAATTCCTTTTCTCTGAGGTGTCTGATGTTAACATTTTGTTTTTAACCAGTCTTTTTTTATACTCATAATTCATATGCATATGTGATTAGTTTTCTTTTATTTTAAATGAAAGCTATGTCATACTCATACGACACCAAAACTATCTTTTTGCATTTAACAATACAAATAACATTAACAATAACAATTTAATAACATGAACATTCTTGTGAGTCTTTTGCATTAATTTAAATTTTAACTTTATTTTTATCAAATCAATATACATAGTTTTGAAAATCAAATAGTGTCGCTAGACTTACAATGAAAAAGAGTTCTTTGCTCCGTTCCTTCCCAGCTCTTTGATTCTGTCTCCTCAAAGAGATTCACTTTGAATTCTTTACATTGTTTCTTCTAGTATTCACCAATTTTCTTTCTTTCTTTTTTTTTTTTTTTTGAGATGGAGTCTCATTCTGTCTCCTAGGCTGGAGTGCAGTGGCATGATCTTGGCTCACTGTAATCTCTGCCTTTCAGGTTCAAGCGATTCTTCTGCCTCAGCCTCCTAAGCAGCTAGGATTATAGATGCATGCCACAACATCTGGCTAATTTTTTGTATTTTTAGTAGAGACAGGGTTTCACCATGTTGGCCAGGCTGGCCTCGAAATCCTGACCTCAGGTGATCTGCCTGCCTCGGCCTCCCAAAGTGCTGGGATTATAAGTGTGAGCCACTGCACCCAGCCTATCATTAAATTTCTTAAAAATTTATTTCTACTACTATTTCTTGATTCATCTGTTTTAGAACATCATCTACTGATGTTGTACTAACTAGAGGATTTAGCTCATTTATCCAGTCACACAGACACACGCAAATACGTGTTGGTTAAATCAAAGATCAGCATGTGTATTATTATGACTGTATAAATAATGTTCACAGCAAAATCATAAGATATATTGATTACACTTTCTTGCTTGAACCTCTTTTGTTTTCCTTTGTAGTTACTGATTACCTTTGTAAACATTGTAATGACCTCTTATGGGCTATAATTTTTTTTTTTTTTTTTTTTTGAGACAGAGTCTTGCTCAGTCGCCCACACTGGAGTGCAGTGGCTCGATCTCCGCTCACTGCAAGCTCCGCCTCCCGGGTTCACACCATTCTCCTGCCTCAGCTTCCCGAGTAGCTGGGACTACAGGTGCCTGCCACCACGCCCAGCTAATTTTTTTGTATTTTTTTAGTAGAGTTGGGGTTTCACCATGTTAGCCAGGATGGTCGCGATCTCCCTGACCTCGTGATCTGCCCGCCTCTGCCTCCCAAAGTGCTGGGATTACAGGCGTGAGCCACTGCGCCTGGCATATGGGTTATAATTTATATATAATAAAATATATCCACTTAAAGTACACAGTTATCTGAATTTTTGGACTGTTATATACTTGCAGATAATCATTACCCCAGTCAAGGTATAGAATTTTTCCATAGCCTCAAAACATTCCTTTATGTCTCTTATTAGTTAATTCTTTCTACCCACTGTCCTGTACAACCACTCATCTGATTTGTATGGCCACATATTATTTTTGTCTGTTCTAGACTTCATGTAAATGGAATCATAGAGCACATTTTTTTTTGTATCTTTCACTCAGCATAATGTTTTTGAGCTTCATTCATGCTGTTGGGATTGTTCTTTTTCACTGCATGTATGAAATTCCTTTGCATAAATGTAACACGAGGTGTTTATTCATTTACCTGTTGATGAACACAGAAAAAAACAAGGCCAGGTGCAGTGGCTCACGCCTGTAGTCCGAAATTTTGGGAGGCCGAGGCAGGCAGATCACAAGGTCAGGAGATCAAGACCATCCTGGCTAACATGGTGAAACCCCCTCTCTACTAAAAATACAAAAAAATTTAGCCAGGCGTGGTGGCGCACACCTGTAATCCCGGCTACTCAGGAGGCTGAGGCAGGGGAATCGCTTGAACCTGGAAGGCAGAGGTTGCAGTGAACCAAGATTGTGCCACTGCACTCCAGCCTGGGCGACAGAGCAAGACTCTGTCTCAAAAAAAAACAAAAAACAAAAAACAAAACAAAACTGAGTTTTTCCCAGTTTCAGGCTATTAAGTTAAAGCTGTTATGAACATTTGTATTCAAGTGTTTGTGTAGACCTATGTTTTCATTTCTTTCAGGTAAATATCTACGAATGGAATTGCTGGGTAATTTGGCACATATGTGTTTAACTGTTTTCCAGTGGGGTTGTACCATTTCATTCCCTCCAGTAATGTAAGATAGTTTTAGTTGCTCATTAATCCTTGGTGTTGTTGGTCTTTTAAATTTTAGCCATTCTAGTATGTACTAGTGTGGTCATGGCTCACTGTGTGTGTGTCTAATTAATAACTTTGTCTTATTTTTACTTTATCATAGTCTAGCAGTTTTCGGTTTTGAGAAAAATTGAGTGGAAAGTACAGGGAGTTCTCATATACCCCCAACCCAATTTGCCCTATTATTAACATCTTGAATTAGGGTGGTACATTTGTTATAATTGATAAGCCAATATTGGTATTGATGAGCGGTACATTTGCTATAATTGATGAGCCAGTATTGGTACATTATTATTAACTAAAGCCCTTAGTTTACATTAGGGTCCACTCTTTATGTTATACATTCTGTGGGTTTTGACAAATATATGACATGTATCCACCATCATAGAGGCCTGCAGAATCGTTTCACTGCTATACAAATCCTGTTTTCCACCTGTTCTTCCCTCCCTTCCCCTTCTCCTTCCAATCTTTGGCTGCCACTGACCTTTTCACCGTCTTCATAGTTTTACCTTTTCTATAAGGTCATATAATGGGAATCATACAATATGTAGTCTTTCAAGATTGGCTTCATTCACTTAGAAATGCACAGTTAAGTGGCTTGATAGCTTATTTCTTTTTAGCACTGGATACTAGTCCATTGTCTAGATGTACCACAGTTTACCTGTTCACCTACTGGGGGACTGTGTTGCTTCCGGGTCTGGGCAGTTGTGAATAAAGCTGCTGTAAATGTCTGTGTGTATTTGTTTGGTGGGGACAGAGGCCAGCTGCCAGCATTCTGGGAGCTGAGCTTGGGTGAGGCGGGAGCTTTTGTTCAGTGGCTTATTTTCTCTAAAGTGCTTTAATCTCCACTCCACTGTATGCAGTAATCTTCTTAGAGAGCAAACCTCTGGGCTTTCTTCAGGACAGGAGGGGAATCTGAGGATCTGAAGAGTCCTTTTAAAGACTGATCCAGTCCTGGTTTTAGCCTTACCTTTTGGTTTCTAAAACTATGACTATGCAATCAACTTTGCACTCGATGTAGTAAAAACGTTTCATGCCAAGGTGTTGAAAGGCCAAAATGACAATAAACACGTTTACATAAAAATATAATGTGCATCCGGTGAAGATGCAGAGCTAAAGGTGAGTCCTTTCTTCCAGATTCTTGTGTGTTGTCCCCATGTCGAGGTTGTCAGACTATTACAGGGAGCAAAGTTAGAGGCCGTGGTGTGGCTGTGAAGTGAAAAGCTGATTGTGTGGGAGGGTCCTGATTATAGTCATCGCAGACAAGGACGTGTTCTCCACCTGTGATTTTGTTTCAACCTCTACATTATCTCCCAGAAGTGTGCCAAACTGTAATTCTCACAATATCCAAGCTGATGTTTTTTAGTAGTAGGTTTCCTGATAGCATTATAACATTCATTTCTCTGGGCTCAAGCCATTGTTTCCTCGTAGCATCCTCAAAAGCAAGGGGTTCTGGATACAGAAGGAGGAGAACATCCATTGAGACCTTCGAGTGGGTCCTGACCCTGTGATTGTCTTGGATCATGTCTGTTGATGCCTCCCAGGGCAGTGAATGAACAGCAAGAGGGGACAGTGATGAGTTCAGTCCAGTGATGTATACGATAGACTGCAGTGGATGGAGGCAGGGCTGCAGCTCTCTGAGAGATGGTCTGTTCCGGAGAGGCTGAGGTCAGAAGGACAGTGGGACAGGGAGGCACCTGAGCCCCGTAGGGTGGCCTCTTGGCTTGGTTTTGGGTGTGATTGGACGAGATGGCCTCTACAGTTCTTTCTAGCCATAAGGATGTAGGATACTAAAAATGAAGCCCCATCTCTTCACCCTGATATTCGAAGCTGCTTATAACCTGGTTACTTCTTACCTAACTTTCATGCTCCGTCTTCTTCCCAGCATCTTCTCCCTAGTGAGCGCATCTTTGTCCTCAAGACCTTCTCTCTTTTGTTTCCCCTTAAATCCCCCTTCTGCCCACCCCCACCGCGTATATATTGTGACTTGTTTTCTTATCCAAATTCTGCTAAGATTTACTTTCTTTTTCTTTCTTTTTTTTTTTTTTTAAAAAAAAGACAGGATCTCACTCAGTAGCCCAGGCTGGAGAACAGTGGTGTGATCATAGCTCACTGCAGCCTTGAACTCTTGTACTTGAGTGATCTCCCTGCTTCTGCCTCCTGAGTAGCTGGGACTATAGGCACTCACCACTCCACCTAGCTAATTTATTTTATTTTATTTTGTTTTGCTTTGTTGTTTTATTTTATTTTATTTTATTTTCTAGAAATGAGGTCTCACTATGTTGCCCTGGCTGTTCTTGGATTCCTGGCCTCAAGTGATCCTCCCACCTTGGCCTCTCCTCCCAAAGTGCTGGGATTCGAGGCGTGAGCTACTGCCCCTGGCCCTTTGCTCTCTTTATCTTACCAGTGGAGCTTTCCTTGTGACCTCACGTCCTCCGTACCTCCCTTCTTTGAGTTCCTATTGGACCTGCTTCCTGCACTGCACAATGTAGCAACTTGTAAAATGCCATTTTTAGGGTGGGAGGCTGTGGACTTCAGAGGGTGCACCCAGGGATCAGTGAGGGACAGGAGGACCAGATTGCCTTATGATCCTCAGGATTCCACTTGAGTGCTTGGTGATGCATTATCTTACGACATAAACACACAAACAGAAGGTAGGAGAAGCTGTCTCAAGGGTGCAGCCTTTCCTTGGAAAGTATGCAGTGATTTAAGTGTTCAGAGATTGGCACAGACCCTTTGAATCTATGCACGGCCATTCTCACAGTGATTTTTGTGTGTATAAAATATTGACCATGAAACTGGGTAATGGAGTTGAGAATAGATACTTTAAGGAGGGTGGCGCTGCTTAGGAAAAAAAGGTTTCAGACTATTGAGTGTGACTTTTGTGAGAAATGGGAAAGTTCTTCAAAGATTATAAAAAGTCACTTTCTTACTATAAGATTGCTATCCACTATTAGTACAAATATATGTATTCCAAATCAGCTGTCCTAGCTTGCTGCAGCATGCCTGGACAGAACTAGACAAGCTCCGCCCATAGTGCATGCCATTCCTTATTTGGAGATGCTCCCTTAACTATCCCTGGGCAACTTCCCTTTCTTTCTTTGTTCTGTTCTCCTTACCTAATTAATAAAGTTTTAAACTAATAGCCAATCAGGTAAAGTGTAAAATGTGAGATCCTATTCCAGCCAATGGAAACTGGACACAGCAGTAGGGTAGACGTGTCAGGTTATAAATAACTCTGTCTCCTTTGTTCAGTGTGCTCTCGTGGCTGGACAGCTATTGAGTAGCACCCTTTCTGCAGAAAGTAAAGCTCTCCTTGCTGAGAGATCACTTGTTCCCACGTTAATCCTTTTTTTTTTTTTTGGTGACATCAAAAGCTTCATTCCCAACACTTTGAAAAGCCAAGACATGGTCCTTCATCATGTAGGGGCTGTCATTCAGAATTGGGAACAATTCTGATCGTGTAAGTGCTCCAGGCAAATAAAGTGATATGACAGGATAGAGCGTGAGGAAAGCACTTTCCACTACCTGAAAGTTTCTCCAGGAGGCTGCAAACACATGAGAGCAGACCGTGTTTCTGTCTCTCTTCCCAGCCCTGGCACACAGGAGGTGCTCAGTAAATATTTGTTCAATGAGTGAGCGAATGAACCGAGCTCTTAACGCACCACACCGTGCGAAGGCTGGTGTTGTCACTCCAGCTAAACCCATCCCTCTGTGCTGAATGAAGGCCCCGTTGCTTTGGTTGATGGGCAGTGTCTCCACCTAACCAACGTCTCATTCAACTCACTACAGGCTTCCTGGTTTGCAGACTTTGTTGCTAAGATTCGCATCCCTTCTTGAAATCTTTCTCCCAAATCTTTCTCTCCCATTTAACAAGTGATTATTTTAGATGAGGGAAGGGGAGTCAGAGACTGTTTATGAGCAGAAACTGGAAATTCAGGGAGCCAGCCATGCAGGATCTAGGGAATGAGACTTCCAGGCAGGGGAATAGGAATGTCACGGCCCTGAAAGGGTAAGAACTTTGGACCCAGTTGGAGAACAGCAAGAGGGCCCGTGGCTGGAGCAGAGGGAGGGAGTTGAGTGGCAGAACAGCTGATAGGGTCGGATCAGGGTGGGCCCTTGCAGGCCATTGGAAGAAGCCTGGATTATATTCTGATGGCAGAATATGACCTTTCAGCATCATTGTCTGATTTAGCTGTTTTCTCCTATATATATTTGAACCTTACAGAAGCCTGGGGTAAATAAGTCAGGTGTATTTATTTCTGTTTTAGAGATGAAGAATATGAAACTCCAAGAGTTTGGAGGGCTGGGACCCAGATCTTTGGACTGCTCATGTGTTCAGTGTCTTGTTTTTTGTTTTTGTTTTTTCTTTTTTTAGACAGTCTCACTCTGTTGCCCAGGCTGGACTGCAGTGGCATGATCTCGGCTCCCTGCAACCTCCAACTCCCTGGTTCAAACGATTCTCTTGCGTCAGCCTCCCGAGTTGCTAGGATTACAGGCACGCACCACCACGCCCAGCTAATTTTTGTATTTTTAATAGAGACGAGGTTTCACCGTTTTGGCCAGGCTGGTCTCAATCTCCTGACCTCATGATCCGCCCACCTCAGCCTCCCAAAGTGCTGGGATTACAGGCCTGAGCCACGGCGCCTGGCTGAGTGTCCTGTCTTATGCTGCCTCATGCTCAGGTTGAAATGTGAGTGTTGCCTGACTTGGTGTCCCCGTGAGGCCCCAGCAGGCTGACCTGCAGTGAGTCAGTCGTTCCTGCTCTGATAGTTACACAGGAGCTGAGCGTGGCGGAGAAGCCATGCGTTTGGATATTGGTTTCATCACTGGAGTGTCATGTTTAGTTGTGGCTGCCACACTTTGGGAGAAGATGGGGAAATTGGAGAGGTACCAGAGAGGAGCAAAAAATAGATGAAAGGATGCATTAGTGGTCCCATGGGAGGAGGTTAATGGAATCCAGGCATTTGTATTTCTTTTTCCCTGAGAAGAAGCTCTGAGTGGTGAGGCAACAGTGCTCCTCAAATAACCGAGGTTTCTGGCTGGTTCCACCTCATCTCCATGGAAGATTGACCTGGAGAAGGTCAACTTCAAGTGCAGCGATAGAGAGCACCTGGGCATGATGCGCTTATTAACAGCGTCCTTATATCCCTGAGCAGACACTCAGGGTGGCTGTAGATACTCGGTTCCGAGGGCTCCGTGAAAACTGAAGAGTTACTCTTTTCTTAATTTTTTGAGGTAGCATCTCACTCTGTTGCCCAGGCTGGAGTGCAGTAGCACAATCATGGCTCAGGGCAGCCTCAACCTCCTGGGCTCAAGCGATCCACCCACCTCTGCCTCCCCAGTAGCTGGGACCACAGGCACGCACCATCATGCCCAGCTAATTTTTATCTTTTTGGTGGAGATGGGGTCTCTCTATGTTGCCCAGGCTGGTCTCGAACTCCTGGGCTCAAGTCATCCTCCTATCTCTGCCTCCCAAAGTGCTGGGATTACAAGCGTCAGCCAACTTTCCCAGCCAGGAGTTACTCTTTTTAAAAGGTAGGCACAGGCCTTTGTGAGGGATGCCCTGACCCTTTTGCAGTGGTTTGACTCTTTGAGGCCGTGGTCCGTGGAGTTTGAAACCTGCACAGAAAGAATATTTCCCGAGTCTGGCACCACCTGGCTTTAGTCAGAGGGATCACCTGAGCTGCTCCAGTCCTCTCTCAGCGGCTCCTGGGGAATTGGGAGGGGGGCTGAGGCATGCTGGTGAGATTCAGGGTGCACTGGCATCAGCTCACAGGAGTTTTTTCTGTCTCTTGAAGAGTGACTTTCAGTCCCATCCTGGGTAAGAACAGCTGTTTTGCATGTTGCTGAGTAATTTCTTTGCAGGTCCTTGTGTCCTAGCATCGTCCTTTCTCACCTGCCTTTATTCTGTTTCACGCTGCACAGTATGGAGTGTGCAGTGATTCATTGGGGAGAGAAGAAAATAAAACCAAAAAGCCCATCTGCTTTGTCAGGAGACACCTCCAAACACAGATGCTCCCTCATCCTCCTACAGCAGCTGTTTTCAGCCACACCTCTGGGCTCAAGCCATCCTCCTGCCTCTGCCCCCAAGTGATCATCCTGTTGTCCCACCCATTGTCCCGTAAGCAGGAGTTCAACAGGGACAGAGCGCGGGGTGGGAGGTGGCTGGAATCATCCCATGGCTTAGTGGTGTGGGGACTAAGGAACTATTGTTCCCTCTCCAGCTGGAGCTGCACATCCATTTTCTGCTGTCAGATGCCATCCATGTAGGAGATGCTCCTTCCAGACAGCCCCCCAGAGCCGCCTGGCTGACCTTCCACTCCCGGGCTGAGTGTCACTACGAGTCTTGACTTTCTCGTCATGCTGGTGTTTCACAACCTTGTAGCTAGAGTCCGGTGCAGCTTTTCTTCCTGCCGGCCCATCAGCTTTCGCTTCTCTCTGCCGCTGGGAGGCAACATCTCGGGGTTCTCCAAGGGGAGGTCTCACCTTGAATGAGTCTGGCATTTTGAGGTCATGATGGTGGCCGGGATTCTGCCCATGTTCAGTGGGACTTGGGTGGCAGCACAAGCAGATGAGGCTTGGTTTTGTTCCATTCTTTGTTTAGTTGCTCACTCATTCCTTCATTTGGCAGATGCCATATACTGTGCTGGAAGAGAGGATGCAGCCGTGACCCAGACAGACAAAGTCTCTGTTTTGATGGGGCGTATGTTGGAGAGTGGAGGGGCAGGGACAGTGGATGATCAACAAGATAATTTTGGAAGCTGATAGGAGCTGTGGGGAACATGAGAGAGGTTGATGTGGGGTGTGGTGGAGGAGGAGAGTTTGGGGGCTCGGGAGGCCTTCCTGTGGGTGGCATAGTGAGAGCCTGGGTATACCTGCCCCGTGGCTGCCCAGGTCTGACCCGGAATCCGGTTGTGTTGGATGGTACCACTGAGAATCGTCATTTCCTGGGACTTCCCATCCGCTTTTCTTGAGAAAGTCACTGCCCTTTTAAGTTGCTTGTTTGTTTTAGTAAACGTAGTCAATGAAGCAGTGAGTCAGTGCAAAACTGTTCAGATGTCACCGATGGGAATAGGTTAGATACAAAGTTGTGTTCATTCACCAATGGCTTGTTGAGTACCCCCTAAGCCCACGGCGCAGTGCAGGAGCTCTTAGATTCAAAGAACTCTGGTCTGGGGGAGGGTGGAGGTGTGAGGATTCCTTTAGAAGAGAGAAGGGACCCACGCCATCTTGCTGGGGGGGAAGAGGCCCTCTGCCTTTCAGATCTATCGGTTCATGGCTTTGCAAATATCAGTATTTGCTAAAAATGAGGCCTACAGATTTTAATGTGGCAAAACGGATTTTATTTCTGAATGTTAACCAAGTTGAGGTTAGGAGTAATGATCTGCAGTGCGAAAAGGGGGTTTTTATCTTATAATGATTAATTCTTTTCTTCCTTCCCTTCTAAAAAAAATGTGATTCCTGATAAAACCTGATGTTTCACTTTATATTTAAATGATACTCCATTGAGCATTTTATTAGTAACAATTCAGTACTTAAATTGCATATTTCAGTTATAAGAGACAATTCACTAGGCTTGCAAGAAAACTATCCTATTTAAAGTAGGAGAAATCTCCCTCTTGATTACTGTGGAGGTTTCTTCATCTAGACATTTTAAACACTTTCCAAACAGTCCTTGCAGTTTTTCTTTTGTATTGTGGCAAAATACACATAACATACAATTTACCATCTTAGGCATTTTTAAGTATCCAGTTCAGTGGCATTAAGTACATTTCACATTGTTATATGATCCTTACCACCATCTGTCTGCAGAGCTCTTTTCATCTTATAAAATACCCTTGGAGGTTTTCCAGTTTCTCTTGCTAGCAGGTATGTTTTAGTTAAGGCAATATACCAGGTTTAGTTAAGGTGCTATACCAGGTATTTTACACATAATCTGATTGAATTCTCACCATAATCCTCTAAGGGGCATATTATATATGTGGTTTTTGTTTTGTTTTGTTGAGACGGTATTTTGCTTTGTCACCTGGGCTAGAGTGCGGTGGCACGATCATAGCTCACCGCAGCCTTGACCTCTGGGGCTCAAGCGATCCTCCCACCTCAGCTTCCTGAGGAGCTGAGACTACAGGTGTGTGCCACCACACCAGGCTATTTTTTGTATTTTTTGTAGTGACGCAGTCTCACTCTGTTGCCCAGGCTGGCCTCAAACTCCTGGGATCAAGCGTTTCTCCCACCTCAGCCTCCCAAAGTGCTGGGATTGTAGGCCTGAGCCACTGTGCCTGGCCTTATATGCAGTTTTCGCCAATGAGGAAACAGACTGAGAGGGGTTGAATAACTTGTTTGAAGTTATACAGCCAGCAGATGTCGGAATGGGCATTTGGACCCAGCTTCCTCCAAAGCTGAGGCTTTTTCTGTTGTTCCACAGTGATTTTCAGTTAGAAGTTTTGATTCTGGCATCTTGCCTTCTGTCAGTAACTGTTTTCAGCACAGAACAGAATACTGTTCACATTTTCTCTGAATATTGGACATGCTTCCTGTGTACTTCAGTGTTCTTGCTCAGGAAATCTGAGGAGCCACCGAGCACCAAAAGAACAGGCATCTGTAAAAGCAACTCAGAATTAAGACCATACTTTTTATTTTTATTTTTTTGATACAGTCTCTCTCTCTCATCCAGGCTGGAGTACAGTGCCTTCATCTCAGCTCACTGCAACCTCCACCTCCCGGGCTCAAGCCATTCTCCTGCCACAGCCTCCCAAGTAGTTGGGATTATAGATGTGCACCACCATGCCCGGCTAATTGTTGTATTTTTAGTAGAGACGGGGTTTCACCATGTTGGCCAGGCTGATCTTGAACTCCTTGCCTCATGTGATCCACCCGCCTCAGCCTCCCAAAGTGCCGGGATTACAGGTGTGAGCCACTGCGCCACGTCCATACTTTATTTCTGAAGATAATTTGGAAACCTATATTTCTAAAATACGACTACTGTAGATACTTCTAGAACATTCTCCCTCTCTCGAAAGTCATGCGTTTGTTCTCAACTCTCACAGAAGGAAGTAGGTCCCTTCAGTGTTGCGATTACCTTCCTGCCTGTTGAAGACAGCCTCTGCGTCTTTCTTTAATGCAAACGCATGGACGTATGACATCCATTCACTTCTTTATCTCATCTGTGGCCAGCAGGGTGTATAGAGGCAGGTTGCAGAAATGCCAAATATTTCCCAAGGTCCCAGGCAGAATTCCTGGTGGTAGTGCTACTGGATTTGCTAATGTAAAGATGTCCTGATTTTGGGAGGGCGGGGGTGGGAAGTAAGCATACAATTGTGCAAATATTAGTAATCTCTTTTATTCTTAGAAGATACAGTCTGTTGAAGAACATGGTGAGGAATTGGCAGGAGAGCATCCGTGACTCCTTTAGCCTTTGTGAGGCTGTGGTGCTATATTGAGGCGGCTCACTCAGATGGGAACACCAACCATATGGTGGAGAAGGGAAGGAGACGTGTTCTTTCTCTAGTTTGGCATGCAAATGAGAAAGAAAGCGCTGCAGAGGCACAAGCTGGCTTCTCATCTCAGCAAGCAGAGGCAGGCCACCGATGTCCAGCCTTGTAGCCTCATCCTATCCACAGCCCGGCCCGGTAGCCTCATCCTATCCCCACCCTGACCTGTGCCTCTAGTGACCACAGGCAGCTGAATGGTGGAGGACGGGGGGATTCCGATATCCTTGTATTAGGAGGGGCCTCAGAGAAGGGGAGGCCATCTTCTGGGTTTGCTAGAAGCCCTCTCTCCACCCCAGTAACAACTCACTCTTTGACTGGAAGTACAATGAAAAGGGCTAGGGGGTGGGAGGGGCCAGGCTTCTAGCAGATGTTTCTGTTTGCCTCGTGTGCAGAACCACAGCTTCCACTGCCTGGCCCTCCCAGGTCTCTTTAGCAGCTGGGCGTGGTCTGGATAAAGTCCATACTCTAAGCCTGCTTGCTATTCACGCTAGCTGTTCTTTACTGTATCCCTCCACATCTACCCAGCCTCCGCCTCCTCTCCCCATCCTTTTATAATCATACCTCACTAAACCACCTGCTGTTCCCATTGCACTAAGCTCTCTACCACCTCGGGCCTTTTACAGAGGCTTTTCCCTCTGCATGGAGAACTCCGTTCCCGTCACCCCTCACTCTCTTTCCTTGGATAAATCCTGCTTGTTCTTCCTCTCCATCCGGAAGCCTTCCCTTGGCCCCCGACCCTGGCCAGCCTCCCCCTTTGTGAGCTCCTGCAGCACTGCACCCTCAGTTGGATGCCGCCTCAGAGTAGCCTGCTGGCTGGAGTCTCCTTAGACATCCTGAGGGTTTTAGTCATAGCCATAGCCCCAGAGTGCAATCGTGTCTGCTGCAGGGCTGGCCGATTGCATCCCACGTAGGCTGTGCAGCCCCACCTGTCTGCCCCTCATTTTGTATCACCAAATCTATAAATGTGGAAGAACAGTGGGAGTGAGCGAGGGGGTGAGGTTCCCCATCTTCCTCTGGGAGGGTGGAAAGGCGTTCACCTCCGTAGTCCCCGTTGGTGTCCCTCTCATCCCCCCACTTCTCTCCGCATCCTTGTCACAGTCAGCGGTGGCTCTGCCTGGCTTGCTGTCTTCCTTTCTCCTCTTGGAATGTCGTCTTCGTGAGGGCGGGAACCTCATTCCTCTGGTTCCTGCTTTGGCTTCAATACATAGCTCATTCCTGGGCCGTGGAAAGTGATCAGTATCCATTTGAATGTGTATGTGAATTCATTCAGTGGGCAGTGATGTACAGGACCTCCCGCCTCAGAAAGAGAAAGTCCCCTTTCTATTTTCCTGCTTTAGCAATATAGAGAAGCTTTTAAAAAGACCTAATCAGGCCGGGTGCAGTGGCTCACGCCTGTAATCCCAGCTCTTTGGGAGGCCAAAGCGGGTGGATCACCGAGGTCAGGCGTTCAAGACCAGCCTGATCAACATGGTGAAACCCTGTGTCTACTAAAAATATAAAACTTAGCCGGGCATGGTGGTGGGCGCCTGTAATCCCAGCTACTCGGGAGGCTGAGGCAGGAGAATCACTTGAACCCGCGAGGCGGAGGTTGCAGGGAGCCAAGATCACGCCATCGCACTCCAGCTTGGGCGACAGAGCAAGACTCTGTCTCAAAACAAGCAAACAAACAAACCTAATCAGAACCAGAAAGGGCTTTAAGCTCATCCTTGCTTAAATTTTTTTTTTAAATTTAATTTTTCCCCCCAAACCCAAGGAAGCCTCAGGAGCATTTTCGTCTGCATTTTCTCTAGCACACAATCACGTGTAACCTTGTTTTCAAGGAGAGCCTAATGTTTATCTACTTTATAATTAACATTTTGTTTTTCGGTGTCTTTTATTTGTTTAGTGATATTGATTTGCATACTGTTGCTTTAATTGCTTGATAATGTAAGCCCTTAGATGCTTCTCATGATAATGCTTCTGGAAACAGATTGTTATTTAACAATCAAATGACTAAGTGGATATATATATATATTTTTTGTTTGTTTGTTTGGGAATTCTTTTTGTGTCTCTGGAGTTCAAGGGGAAGCTTCTATGCGCCTGGAATTCTACATGGAAACTCTTGTAGCTCTGCTCGCACAATTGCTGATTTCTGATAGCACCAGCATCTCACATTCTGTGACTTTAATGAGAAGGAAAAAACTTGTAATGTCATGTTCTACGAAGCTCCCCTTTTGGAAGACAGAAACTGACAGATGTCCTTATTTTTATTCTGCAGAATAGCTCCTTCCTCTCGAAGAATCAGCGCTCCTAGCCCCAGCAATTTCTCCTCTTAGAAAACTCTTCATTTGCTTTGCTTGAGAGACTCCAGCTTGGGAGTCTGTTTCTCCAAATTTCTGATTTTGTTTGCTGGCAGCTTGCCCCCACCCCTTCTGGTTCAGCAGAGCTTTGCCCAAGTTGCAGGTTCTGTCAGAAGGAGTGGGGAGAAGGAGAAGGAGTTTAGAATCTCAAAATCCTGGCTCTGTGGTATTCAGCAAGTTAATGAACCATGTCTGTGCCTAGGTCGTCTCACTGCAAGAATAGGAATTGTAATATCTTCGTCACAGGTAGGCCCTTGATAAGCTAGCACGGTGCTTTCAACACATTAAGTACTGTGTGTATGTTGTATGGATGGAAATGAGCCTCATTTGGGGATCTTATTTGCAAGCCTATTGAACAAATAACAGCTATGAAATTTCAGAAGCAAATGGTACTTTATTTTCTCTGTGGAAACCTTGAAGGAAACGGGTAAACAGATACTTTTTTTTTCTTATGTGAGCTATAAGTAGACTATTTGCATCTCCCTGTAACTGGTAAAAAGAACACTTTACACTTTACACAGTCTCAGAGAATATTCCTGACCGAAGCTGTCATCCGTGCCGTGCTGTGTGACATGTTGTGACCGAATTTGCTGTGGGAGGCCTGCCTCAGCCTTTACCCCAGTGAATTCTGCAAACATGATTGGTTTTTTTCAGTGTGTGGAAACAGGAAAAACATTGGGAATCTCTGCTCTCAACTGCATATTCTAAGTACATTCTTTCTTTCAAATCAATTATGAAGAATAATTTATCGGTAATTACAGATGTCTTTTGGCTTAAAATACAGTTTTTTTGTTTTTTTGTTTTGAGACAGAATCCCACCTTGTTGCCCAGGCTGGAGTGCAGTGGTGTGATCTTGGCTCACTGCAACCTCAACCTCCCTTGAACCTCCTGGGTTCAAGCAATTCTCCTGCCTCAGCCTCCCGAGTAGCTAGGATTACAGGAATGTGCCACATGCCCTGCTAATTTTTGTGTCTTTAGTAGAGAAGGGGTTTCACCATGATGGCCAGGATTGTCTCGAACGCCTGATGTCAGGTGATCCACCTGCCTTGGTCTCCCACAGTGCTGGGATTACAAGCGTCAGCTACCGCCCCCAGCCTTAAAATACAGTTCTGATAAACTATTTTGACTTTTTAAAAAATTAGTGAATGTTTAAAATAATAGAAATGTGGCTGGGCACGGTGGCTCATGCCTGTAATCCCAGCACTTTAGGAGACTGAGGCAAGAGGATGGCTCAAGCCCAGGAATTCGAGACCACTCTGGGCAACATAATGGGACCCCATCTCTACTAAAAATACAAAAATTAGCTGGGTGTGGTGGTGTGCACCTGTAGTCCTGGTTGGAAAGCTGAGGTGGGAGGATCATCTGAGCCTGGGGAGGTCGAGGCTGCAGTGAGCCATGGTCTCACCACTGCATTCCAGCCTGGGTGGCAGAGTGAGATCCCCATCTCAAAAAAAAAAAGCAAAGAAAAAAAGAGAAACATTTAAACTGATGACAAAGTTTTGATGGTAAGAAATAAGTTGGTCCTTGACAGATACTAAAAGTGTGTCACTGAAGAGATGAGTGTTCAAAACCTTAAGAAAAGGACGCAGTGGGCAGGTGCAGTGGCTCACGCATGTAATCCCAAAACTTTGGGAGGCCAAGGCGGGCAGATCAGTTGAGGCCAGGGGTTTGAGACCAACCTGGCCAACATGGTGAGACCCCATCTCTACTAAAAATACAAAAATTAGCAGGGCGTGGTGGAGGGCGCCTGTAGTCCCAGCTACTCTGGAGGCTGAAGCAGGACAATTGCTTGAACCCAGGAGGCAAGGTTGCAGTGAGCCAAGATCACGCTACTGCATTCCAGCTAGGGCGACAGAGTGAGACCCTTTCTCAGAATAAAAAAAAAAAAAAGAAAGAAAAGGCCGCAGGCTTTTGCTTTTTTACCTGCTAATTAGATTGCTAAATCCAGAAAAATAATGGGCATGCAGTTATATTGAATTTCCAGCAAAAGGCGGCACAGGTGAAATCGGGCTGCGTGATGACGCATCATGCTGCATTCATCACATTTCTATACTAATTGTGTGCTGGCCTGTGGATGGGTTCAGAGGGATTTCCTGGAAGTCAGGGTCAAATGCCATTTGTTCCAGCACTTTCAGGGCCTGGCATGTAAGTGTTCAGTGGATGATTCTTGAATGAATCGTTGACTGTCCTTGTAGATGAGAGAGAAAAATAGGGACTAAATAGTGCTGCAGTTACACGATGGATGATAGCTGAGCAACCACACACCAAGGCTGCTGAGCAGTGGATTGTGTCAGGGTTGGGGGGTAGCGGATAAACCCAAAAGGAAATTTCTTGGGATTTTTCCCAGGACTGGGTCAGAGCATACTCTTTCCAACATTGAAAGAAAATAGCTTGGATCCACCCATGGAAGACCTGCTTATGAAGTTTGCATACAGCCAGAAGGTGGATCCAAAAATTCCTACCAATAATGAGAGATACCATAAATTCATTTTATCTAATACTGATTTCTTTTTTTTCACATTTTTATGCTTTTATTTTAATTTTACCACTCACCCTCTTTTTAGTTTATTTTAGGGTTTGTAATTCTGATTGGGTCTTGACAGTGTAGAAGAATGTTCTAGAGTCATTTCCAGCGAGTGTTGGGAAATATTCTGTAAAGAAAACCTAAGAGTTTTTCCCAGTATACTTGAGATAAAATATATGTAAAAATGATGAGTTAAAAGTAGTCCTGGGAGGGTAAGTTACAGACCTTTTATTTTTTTCTTAAATGATTATGAAAATTAGGGGTAACTTCTTTATTCTCCTGACTAAATTACATTTTGGTTTGTTGTTGTTGTTTGTTTGTTTGACACGGAGTCTTACTCTGTTTCCTGGGCTGGAGTGCAGTGGCGTGATCTCAGCTCACTGCAACCTCCGCCTCCCGGGTTCAAGTGATTCTCCTGCCTTAGCAGCCTGAGTAGCTGGAATTACAGGCGCCCCCCACCACACCTGGCTAATTTTTTGTATTTTTAGTAGAGATGGGGTTTCACCATGTTGGACAGGCTGGTCTCGAACTCCTGACCTCATGATTCACCCGCCTCAGCCTCCCAAAATGCTGGGATTACAGGCGTGAGCCATCGTGCCCGGCCACATTTTGTTTTCATGCAGTCTGTGTGAACTTGCCTTATTGGGCCATAGCAGGGGTCCCCAACCCCAGATACCCTATCTGTGGGCTGTTAGGAGCAGGGCTGCACAGCAGGAGACGAGCGGCAGGTGAGTGGGCGAAGCTGCGTTTGTATTTACAGCTGCTCCCCATCCATCACCCGCCTGAGCTCCGCCTCCTGTCCTATCAGTGGCGGCCTTAGATTCTCGCAGGAGCACGAGCCCTATGATGAACTGCGCATGCGAGGGATCTAGGTTGTGTGCTCCTGATGAGACTCTAATGTGTGGGGCTAGGTGCGGTGGCTCACGTATGTAATCCCAGCAATCTGGAAGGCCGAGGTGGGTGGATCACTTGAGGTCAGGAGTTCAAGGCCAGCCTGGCCAATACAGCAAAACCCTGTCTCTACTAAAAATATAAAAATTAGCTAGGCATGGTGGGGCAAGCCTGTAATCCCAGCTACTCAGGTGGCTGAGGCACGAGAATTGCTTGAACCTGGGGGGCGGAGGTTGCAGTGAGCTGAGATCATGCTACTACACTCCAGCCCGGGCGACAGAGTGAGACTCTGACTCAAAAAAAAAAAAAAAAATCTAATGCGTGATGATCTGTTACTGTCTCCCATCACCCCCAGAGGAGATTGTCTAGTTTCAGGAAAACAAGCTCAGAGCTCCTCCTGATTCTATATGATGGTGAGTTGTAGAATTATTTCATTATACATTACAATGTAACAATCATAGAAATAAAGTGCACGATAAATGTAATGTGCTGAAATCATCCCGAAACCATCTTCCCCTGAGCCCTGTCCTGGTCCATGGAAAAATTATCCTCTGTGAAACCAGTTTCTGATCCCAGAAAAGGTTGAGAACCACTGGGCTGTTGGAGTTCCCCGTAAACTTCCCGCCCTATGGTCCCTCTCACTGTAGCTGTCTGAGTAAAACAAGCAGGGCAGAGTTAGCTCTCTAAGTTTCCCAACGAAAACAAATGTTCCTTTTTCCATTAATGTGAGTCAAAAAAATAAATACAACCCAAACCCAAGGATTATGTTAAGTGACTAAGCCTTTGACACCAAAAGTCAATTCCCTTCATTTTTTGCGACCCATCAAAGAACTCACAGCGTCTTAATGTGCCATCAAAATTAATCTTTCCTTGTCCAAAGCACTTGACCCATACACTAGAGACCTCAGTGCCTCTTCTCAGAGGTTGGCTCTTCTTAGTTTTCTCTCCCTGGTCACTGCACCTGGCGATGCTTAGTTCATGCTTAGTGGGGTTCCTGGTGAGCCACAGGATCCCCAGCTCTTAGTCATCTGGGCTTTGGAGCTTCCTCTAGAGCTTCAGTAACCTCCAATACGGAGGCTTCCCTCTGCTTCTAAAGGGGCTTCTAGCCTTTTCTACTGAATTAAACATTTTCCTTACTGGCAGTGCAAGCTGTGATTCCTATCTTAACTCCACAGAGAAAATGACTTTCAACATTATTTTTTCATAAGCCATTACAGGTTAATATTAATATCATGTTAATATTCCTATAAAGCTATGTTAAAAGGATCTCTTCTTTATCTCCAAAGAAAGTAGAAATGTGTGTTCAATGGCTTACCTAGAAATTTCATGTTAGGAATAGATGACTAATATACAGAAATCTAAGTGGGTTTACTTGAAGGTTAGGTAACCTTCACAGTGGTTTGAATTTGTGACTTTTTTTTTTTTGCAAAGCAGTTGCTTTCTTAGCATATCTCATCTTTCCCATTTACTTCAGTTGTCTTAGAATCACTCCAAAATTCATATCCTCCTCTGCCTTCTTTGTTCTTTTCACATTTTTAAGTGGTTGAATGTTTCCATGAAGTATATGAGGCTCAGTGAACATGTTCCCACACTTTGTGCTTGACAGGAGCAATCATTTATCCCCTACTATTTTTGGTCAGGACTAATAATGACATTCATTATTGGGCTATTATTTAAAATTTTTTTCTAAGCCCACATAAGACATACACTTCTATTTTTGTTTATACTTATGGAAGAGTGTAAGAAGTCTGTGAACGTCTTCACTTGCTGTCTGTATTAATTAGGATGTCCTTGATCATAAGCAACAAAGTACAAACGTCAAATCGGCTTAAGTGACATGTGGGATTCACTGGTTGACGTATCTGGTCTCCCAGAGATAGGGTGGGCTTATGTTAGAATTGATTCAGTAAAACAACGAGATGAAGAGCTGGGTCTCAGCCCTGCCGTTTGCCTGCTCTCCACAGCTTCCGTGACATAATCACTTCCTTCTTGGGGTCACAAGATGGCTGCCGGTGACGTCCAGAGCCATTGCTTTCTTGTTTAAGGCTGGCACCAAGTGCTCTAGTCCTATGCAGAGATGGAGCTAGCGTTCCCCAAAACACAAGCTGTGTGGGGGTGATGTGGCTCACCAAATGAAAATCAAGAACGTAACAAAGGAAAGAGAGTTGGACGGCTGATGGGCGCCGCCATCATGTCTGCCACGCCATCTGAGTATTTAAAAAATAGCTTAGCAGCAATGCATCTAAAAATGCTGCCTGTGAGATCAATGTTCCCAAGAAAATGTAAAAGTTAATTTCTCTTCTTTCACCGTGAGGCTGTCTGACTTTAAACTATTTTCATACTACTGGAAGAATTTCTGTGATTTCTCATAAATGGCTAGTTGTTTTTTTTTTTTTTTTAAGTAACTGAAACATTGTAAATAGTATTTCTGTTTAGAATCTTCCACTGAACAGAAAATAAATTGCTATGGGAAGAATTACTTACTTAAAAAAATTCTGTCAATCCTTTTTATGCAGAAGCTGGATAAAAACTTGAGTCCTTGGTATAGGAGGTGATTTCTGAAGCAAAATATTCTTGTAATTGATTTTAAAAGATTTTTCCCTAGAAAGTTATGTTAGGATAGTAATTTCCTAAAATGTTAGCCAGCATTTGAATATTCTTTCATCTTAATGTTTCATAGCTTCTGTCTCACTTCTATGGCTCCAAAGAGAACCGTCTCTGAGCACAATTACAAACAAATTTTTACAAATCTTGTTATATAGCTTGTATTATTATAATATTACAGAAATAGTAAACGTTTTTTTCTCTGGAAGAAAATTACTCATCTTAAAGAAACGTGGAGAAATATATCCACATTTCATTTCAGAGACAGTTGATGGGGCCAGAAAGAAGTGAGCTTAAGAATGAGACAGTCATAGGTTTTGTTCCAAGATGTGCCACAGAGCTAACAGTGAGACCTTGAGAAAATGACCGAACTTCCTTGCATCTCAGTTTCTCCTTGTAAAATAGGGATAATAGACCCCTCCCCTAGGGTTTCCAGTAGTCCACATAAGATATTGAAATGAAACGTGATTAGCCTGGTATCCTGCACATACTAAGCTCTGAGTAAATGATAGTAATTACCAAAAACACAGGACTGAACAAGAAAAGAAATAGCAGAATCCAACTCAATTATAGGACATTACTCGATTACCTAAAAACTCTTTATCGTTCAGTTGTTGTGTTGCAGTCTTTTATTTATTTTTATTTTTAATTTTTAATTTTTAATTTTGTTTGCAGAGTCTCACTCTGTCACCCAGGCTGGAGTGCAGTGGTGCGATTTCGGCTCACTGCAATTTGCTCCTTCCAGGCTCAAGTGATTCTCCTACCTTAGCATCCTGAGTAGCTGGGATTATAGGGCATGTGCCACCTCGCCTGGCTAATTTTTGTAGTTTTAGTAGAGATGGGGTTTCACCGTGTTGGCCAGGCTGGTCTCGAACTCCTGACTTTGTGATCCGCCCACCTCAGCCTCCCAAAGTGCTGGGATTATAGACGTGAGCCTCCTTGCCCAGGCTAGCCTTTTTTTTTTTTTTTTTTTTTTGAAATGGAGTCTCACTCTTGTTGCCCAGGCTGGAGTGCAGTGACGCGATCTTGGCTCACTGCAACCTCTGTTCCCAGTTGAAGCGATCCTCCTGACTCAGCCTCCCGAGTAGCTAGGATTACAGGCACCTGCTACCACACCTGGCTAATTTTTGTATTTTTAGTAGAGACTAGGTTTCACCATGTTGGCCAGGCTGGTCTCGAACTCTTGACCTCAAGTGACCCACGTGCCTCGGCCTCCCAAAGTGCTAGGATTACAGGCATGAGCCACCTCACCCAGCCCTCCGCCTAGTTTTTTACTTCAGAAACATATTACAGTTTCCTTAAAATTTTTCTGTATACCAATGCTTTGTAGAAAAGCAGTTGTTGTAAATATATATATACATATTTCCATCTATGAATATATATTGAGAGGGAGAGAGGCTGACTTTCAGTTGGGCGGGAATTGTTCTGTATTCCAGAAGAATGTTCCATTCTTAGACCTGGGTAAGAGGAACCCCTGCTTTAGGAGATTCTGTCCTGGCCATGAGCCAGCCATGCCCTTCCCATGGAGTGAGATGTCTGCAGGGTGAAGGACATAGGGCCAAGGACATCTTTCCACCCAATGCTTGTGGGTGTGTGCTTACTCAGGAGTTCTTGACCTCAGAAATTCTTCTGAAGCAACTTTGAATGCACTTCTGGGGCCCATATGGACTGCTTCCTGGGACCCTCCTCCTGAGAGCCGGCAGCACTGTTGATGGGATGTCCTTAGGCCAAGGCAGGTCTGTGTGCAGGTGTGCAGATGGAGCTTGGATCTGCAGGCCAAAGTTCTGGACAGTCAGAGATAGGATGCAAAGCATCGAGGAGGCCACTCTTGCCATGATGCCATCTTGCGAAGAGTCCAAGAATTCAAAATTCAAACCTGGTAGAGGGTAGAACATTCTTTATTGAATCATTTGCTGTTTTGATTTATAACTTTATAAAAAAGCTATTTTTTATAGACCTTAAAGACATTATATTCCAGGACATACAGCCATTGTAACCAGCTAAGAGTTCGTGGGGCACTCACTTAATTCTCCCGTCTGTAAATGGAGGGCTGGCTAGAATATTGGTTTCCAGATTTACCTAATCATTAGAGTTACTAGAGACTTTTAAAAATGTTCCTGATTCCCAGGTTCCCCCTGCCTAGCGATGGCGTTTCAGTAGGACTGGGTAAGAGCTGGTAATGGTTATGTTTTCAGTGCTCCGCAGGGATATTGATGATCAGTAATGGCTACTCCGCTAGATGGACTTCAGTGTCTTTCGCTTGCTATTTATTTATTTATTTACTTACTTACTTTTTTGAGATGGAGTTTCGCTCTTTCATCTAGGCTGGAGTGAAGTGGTGTGATCTTGACTCACTGCAACCTCCGCCCCCCAGATTCAAGCGATTCTTCTGCCTCAGCCTCCCAAGTAGCTGGGATTACAGGCATGCGCCACCATGCCTGGCTAATTTTTGTATTTTTAGTAGAGGTGGGGTTTCGCTATCTTGGCCAGGCTGGTCTTGAACTCCTGACCTCAGGTGATCCACCCACCTCAGCCTCCCGAAGTGCTGGGATTACAGGTGTGAGCCACCACACCCGGTCTCTCTTTTTATTTAATCTTCACTTCAAAGATCCTTTTTTAGTACGTGTAGAAATCAGGGGCTAGTGTTCATCTGAAGAGATTTTGTATAATAGGCATCTGTTTGAATTTATTTTTTAATTTTTTGGAGACAAGGTCTTGCTCTGTTGCCTAGACTGGAGAGCAGTGGTGCAGTCATAACCTTGACCTCCTGGGCTCAAGTCATCCACCGCCTCAGCCTTCTGAGTAGCTGGAACTACAGACACCCACCACCATGCTCAGCTAATTTTTAAAAATGTTTTTACAGACCGGGTTTTACTATGTTGCCCAGGCTGGTCTTGACCTCCTGGCTTCAAGCAGGCCTCTCACTTTGTCTCTCGAGTAGCTGGGATGACAGGCACGTGCTCCCACACCCAGCAACTCAATATCTTTTACAATCTGTGCTTTGCCAAGTTGGCGTACACACTAACACAGAGAGGCAGTTTACACAGAAAGTTCATTACCTTGACTCTGCGCTGTGTTGTCAGGTTCCAAGTGTGAGTGAATGTTAAGATAGGAAGAAAAGAGCCAGCAGATAGATGGATGTGTGTCTGAAAGAAAGGGGAGGTCGGCTGGCAAATGGCCAGGAGCTGTGTGCTGGGGGGAGCCCATGGGAACTCGATATGGGTTAAGGCTGGTCCCCTCTGCGTCCACGGAAATTCCACCAAGTAGCTGGTGCCTTCTGCATTCAAGGTGTTTGTTGTTAAAGAGGAGAAAATCTTTCAGACATGTACAGGGTATTTTCTGAAGACACAGGTATTCAGTCAATGGTATTCTAATTCTGGAGATATAGGAATACGCCAAAGAAAGAAACCCCAGATAATGACAGATCATGTTTTTGTTTTTTGTTTTTCTTTCCTCTGGCAGTCCCCCTTTTCTTTAGAAACAAAAAAAAATGTTGGTGAAAAGAATAATGAAGTTGACATGTTGCAGGATACGTTTTGCCATCATCACCTCTGAAGAGCTCCTAACTCCAACTCATTCTCCAAGGAAATCTCGACATTTACACTCTGGTCAAATGGACTTTCTCCACTTGTTCATGATGAAACAAAAATGTATATCAACTTTTCACTTGGGAAATTAAAAGTGGAGTAAAGTGAAGTTCCAAGTTTCAAGTCACCCCATGAGTGGGAGCGAGAGGGTCAGGACTCCAAGCAGGGTTTCCCAGGAACGATTTCACCGTGTTCAACTTCAGCATCTCTGCAAGAGAAAACACCGCCTTTAGTTTTTCTGGAGCTGAAGTTTTACACTTGGCATATTACTTTTTAGTTCCTTTAGGATAAAACCCGCACAGGTGACCTTGGTGACAAAGCCCCTCACAGCAGTCCCTCCTCTACCCTTGGAGGGGCTGCCGACCACGTGAGTGTTCTGTTTGGCTGTAGTGCCCTCATGCTTCTCTGCCCTTGCTGATGTGGTTCCCTCTCTCTGACATGCTCTTTTCCTTTGCCTTCCTGTGCAGGGCTCACCAGCCCAGACTGGAGCGCAGATTGATCCTGGGGAGCAGCCCGACCAGCGTGCCAGGGGCAGGGTCAGATGCCAGGGCAGGGCTGTGCCCGCATAGCCCTGTGTCTGGCTCTCTGGCAGGACATTGGTCGTGCTGTGTCATGATGTTTACGTACACTTCTGTCTTCTCACACTGGCCTGGGAGCCACCTGGTTTCAGGGACTGTGTTTTATCTATCTTCAGGGCCCTGCTGCCTAGCCTCATGCCTGGCACTCCTGGGTCCCTTCTCTGTGTTTTATGAAGCCTAGGTTTGTGGGTTTTATGTGAGGTGTCTGCACACAACGTGCCGCAATGCCGTTCCAGGGTCCCTCATGTGCAGTGGACATGGCAAAAGGGCAGTGGGGACCATAACAGACTGTGCCTCCCTGTCCCTCCCCTGCCCACTCCACCCGCCCCAATCTGCAGCGCAGCTGGAGCATCCTTGTGCCGCGTTCTCTTGTGATGTCCTAACGGCTGTTGTATTAAGCAGAGCTTTCATGTGTTTATTTATTATCAAAAACATCAGCTCTGCAGACACTTAGTCCACCAGCAGCATCATCCCTCACTCTACAAGGATAAAAAGAGAGAGGAAAAAGGATGCATGGGGAAAAAAACCCATCAGGGGGTTCATCTCGCCCCACACCCTTACTGCAGGGTTCCACACCTGCCAGTCTTCCTCCCCCAGATTCGAGTTCGCTTCCCCTAAGGCTCCCTGGATTAAGCTTCACACATCCCGACGGGGCTTCATGAGACTGGGAATGAATCTGGAAACAGGCTTTTGCCGGCTTTTTACGATTTACGGCACTTTGCTCCCACCTCCTCCTTCCTCCCCGTGTTTCTTTACCCCTCCACTGTTTTCAGCGTCCTCCCCCTGAGACAAATCATTCTGCCAGGTTCTCTGCCTGCCTAGTGAACTAAACAGTAACGGCTTTGCGCCCCAAGCCCCACCTCTGATGAAATAGCAACTCAAACACTGTGGGTCCAGCAACTGTGGGACTTTAAACTGGGCTTAAGGAAGGTGGCCAGACATTTATGCCTACATACAGACAGGTGTGTGTATGCGCACATCTCCGCCTTTGGCCCACTGTTGGCTTCTTCCTGATTTTAACACAACTTTTAATTTTATTTTATTCATGTTTTTGAAATGGAGTCTCACTCTGTCACTCAGGCTGGAGTGCAGTGGTGCAGTCATGGTTCATTGCGGCCTCAACTTCCCAGTCTCAGGAGATCCTCCCACCTTAGCCTCCTGGGTAGCTGGGACCACAGGCACGTGCCACCACACCCAGCTAATTTTTGTATTTTTTTTTTCTTTTTGGAGAGACGGGATTTCACCGTGTTGTCCAGGCTGGTCTCAAACTCCTGGGTTCAAGTGATCCTCCCGCCTTGGCCTCGCAAAGTACTGGGATTACAGGCGTGAGCCATACTGCCTGGACAACTTCTTTTTTGTTTTTAAAGAAACTGTAAAGAGGCCAAAGATTTAGGACAAAGGAGCTCATTACCATCTTTGGAAATAACTTTTTTTTTTTTTGAGACGGAGTCCCGTTCTGTCGCCCAGGCTGGAGTGCAGTGGCGCGATCTCGGCTCACTGCAAGCCACCTGCCCTGGGTTCACGCCATTCTCCTGCCTCAGCCTCCCAAGTAGCTGGGACTACAGGTGCCCGCCACCACGCCCCGCTAATTTTTTTGTATTTTCAGTAGAGATGGGGTTTCACTGTGTTAGCCAGGATGGCCTCTATCTCCTGACCTCGTGATCTGCCCGCCTCGGCCTCCCAAAGTGCTGGGATTACAGGCGTGACCACCGCGCCCGGCCGGAAATAACTTTTTGAGGGAAGATCTTCTCTTTGTATTTGAAAATGTGTCAGTAATAGTCTTTACTAGTTGGAGTGGGGAAGAAAGCTTTTAATTTCACTTTTGAATTGTTGATTACACTGGTTCCCTCCACTCCCTTGCCCCCATCTTTATTCTGTTTTTTGTTTGTTTATTTTTCTTCACTTTTTAGTAGGAGAGTCTTCTTTAAAAACAAATTCCCTAGGGCTGGGTGCTGTGGCTCACGCCTGTAATCCCAGCACTTTGGGAGGCAGAGATGGGCGGATCACAAGGTCAGGAGATCAAGACCATCCTGGCTAACACGGTGAAACCCCGTCACTACTAAAAATACAAAAAAAAAAAAAAAAGCCGGGCGTGGTGGCGGGCGCCTGTAGTCCCAGCTACTTGGGAGGCTGAGGCAGGGGAATGGTGTGACCCCACGAGGCGGAGCTTGCAGTGAGCAGAGAGTGCACCACTGCACTCCAGCCTGGGCGACAGAGCGAGACTCCATCTCGAAAAAAAAAAGAAAGAAAGAAAACTAGGTGAATAGTAACGAGTTTATTAGCCACAACCTATTTGTAATGTCATTCCTGAGAATTTGCAAATAGCCCTGGAGGTTACACTAGGAAGTTTCTTGAGTTGACATCCTTGATCATAGTCTTTTATTAGCAGGATATAATAGAACTATAAGCTCAGACCACCTTAGCATTTAACAATGATCTATCATAAAACTGCAATTTGGAGAGGTGGATGTGTATTACACACCCCTCGTTTAAAAAACATCAACAAAGCAAAACATGCTGCTCTTTTTAATTGTGACTCATCTCAGTTATGAAGAAATTAATTCTTAAGAAAGAATACGGTGTCTTAGTTCGTTTTCTATAACTTATAACAAAATAGCTGAAACTGGGTAGTTTATAAAGAACCTTTTCTTTATTTCTTACAGTTGTGGAGGCTGGGAAGTCCAAGGTGGAGGGGCTGCATCTAGTGAGAACCTTCTTGCTGTGGGGAACTCTTTCTGCAGAGTCCTGAGGCATTGTGGGGCATCACATGGCTGGGGGGCTGAGCGTGCTCATGTGCTAGCTTAGGTCTCCCTTCCTCTTAAAAAACCACCAGCCCACTCCTGTGATGACCCATTAATCCACAAATGGGTTAATCTATTCATAAGGGCAGAACCCTTGTGATTCAGTCACCTCTAAAAGGCCCCACCTCACAATACTGCCACATTAGGGATTGCATTTCAGTGTGAGTTTTGGAGGAAACAAATATTCATACCATAGCACAGAGTTGTCCTTATTATGCACACTGATAGAGATGATCAGAAAATAAGAAATTATGTTTAAAAACACACATACAATGAACCACAAACACCCTAATTCATTCCCAACATATGAGTGCTTGAAAGATGTTTTCTTCCATTGGAATGTGCCTGGTTATCTGAAGCCTGAGTGTGACCTGAGCCAACCATGTGACAACGTTAATTACTGATGTGCAAAAATTAAAGAACACTCAATTCTGCACCATCATCTCTGAATGTGGGCACTTTCCCAGAATGATGAGGAACATTATACAGTATGAGTTCAATCCCCCTAAGTCTGACAGTGAACTGAAATTAGATGGTTGTTCAAAACAGACTTCCCTCTCTGTTTTTCATCTTACTATTTTCATCTCATCTTTTTCTTTTACAATTGGCTTCCCACTTTCTAAATAAATGTTGCCATACCCCAGTAGCTTTAGTGCAATGCCTAGGATCATTTTGGCCTGTGTTCCTGATGCTTCATTATCTCGTTTGAATGAAAGAGCAGCACTGGGTCCTCCAATTTCAGTAGGTGCTATTCAGGGCACCTGTTGGCTTGACATGGTCATGGGTTTGAGTTGTGAAATATGGACCCTTCCATGTGGGTATCAGCACAGAGAAAGCACAGGACATTAGTGGTAGGAAAGAAAAAAGAAACAATACCTTTCCCCTAGATTCCAGTGCATTATTTTGTTTCCCTTCCACTTACTTATCCTCATATAAATGCAAGTGTTCAGAGCTAGAAACCTCAAAGATGCTTCCTGAATTCAAGCCCAGCGTCTTCAATCTGGGGCACAGAGTATGTGAAGGAAGCTGCAGGATACACCCCAGCAGTTCTGTGTCATTAACAGTATTTCATACAGGAATAGCTTCTAAATTCACCTTGTAAGCATCCACAGTGAATCTGAAACAAGCTTTCTGAGATTTCCCTTTCTAAGGTGATTTGGTGTATGTGGGTTCTCACATCAGTGAAGCTAGGAAATCCAAGCTACAAGAGTTAATCTCTGTTTCAAGGCGGGTAAACACCTTAATGTTTTCTGAGACTCCTGGTGCTAATTTTCATGTTTAAAATGCCCACAGAAATATATATTACCCTTTGACAAAAAGTTACCAAAAGATTCAAAGAAGGAAATGACAGTATTCCTTTAAATGTGTTAGTGTTTCAAAGTCTTGCTAAGAAATAGTAGAAGAAGTATTACTAATACTACTTGCTAAGAAATATTAGTTGCTAATACTATTATACTTGCTAAGAAATGTTATTTTTTTCATATTCTTATCCTGAGAGGAGTAATGGGTTGGCCATGTAGCCTTAAATCTTTATCCTTAGGACACCCTGGATCTTAACCTTTAAAAATCAGACTTATTATCAAATAAATGTATTCAGCCTAGATAAATTTAAAATGGGCACGGAAGCCACGAAGTTATCAGCTCTGAAGTATCTAAAGTTGAACCCTTTCCCATGACCTAAGATTCTCAGTAATTTAGTAATAAATGACTTACCAGTGGTTCTCAAACTTGGCTGCACGTTTGAATCACTGGAGAAACTATAAAGAACTTGTTACGCCTAGGCCACGCCGCAGGCCAATCAAATCATAATCTCCAAAAATGTTCCAGTTATTAGTACATTTGGAACTCCTCAGATAATTCTAGCACGTATCTGAGCTTGAGACCCATTGGATTAGGCCGTTCCTGCATTGCTATACAGAAATACCTGAGCCTGGGTAATTTATAGGAAAAGAGGTTTAATTGGCTCACAGTTCTGCAGGCTGTACAGGAAGCATAGTGCTGGCATCTGCTCGGCTTTTAGGGAGACCTCAGGAAACTTACACTCATGATGGAAGGCAAAGGGGGAGCAGGCATGTCACATGGTGAAAGCAGGATCGAGAGAGAGTGGGAGGGGGAGGTGCCACACAAGAAGCCACTGTCGCAAAGACAGCACCAAGCCATGAGGGATCCACCCCCATGACTTGAACACTGCCCTCTAGACCCCATGTTCAAGCATTGAGGATTGAAATTCAAGATGAGATTTGGGCAAGAAAAACTATCCAAACTGTATCACCCATTCACTGGTAACTTCTCATGGATGGTAACAGAAATAGGAAAGAAATACACAGTCAAATCTTAGAACCTTTTTTCATTCTGGTGTGTAGCTTTGGAATGTCTGGAGTCTGTAAGACTTTTGGAAGGTGAGAATTAATTGTTCATTCATTCATTCATTCTTCCATAAACATTCCTTGAGTGTTGATATGTGCTGGATTTTTCACACTGGATTTTTCACACTGAACTGGACCTAACTTATTTCTCCTTTGGTCGAAAGACCGCCAGGCCTCAGCTGGACCTCTAGAGCCATTCTAGACAAGAGCAAATCACTTGGGCGTTTCTGTATTAGTCCAGGCATTGTGGATGCTGATGTGGGAGAAGGAAAAGTGGGTCTTTTCTGTGTAAACAACTTCATGTCTCAAGAAAATTCTGTTCTGTGTCCAGCTGACAAACTTGTCTGTGCAGATAAAGAACCTATTGATGCACAAGTTGTCACCAGGCTTCTGTGTAGCAAAGACTATTCCAGAGAACACTGAATATGGACTTAGAGTCAAAGTTGATGGTTCTCATAGATACCTTAATGCACTTTGCCTCATTATAAGTTTAGATTCATTGATTGTTAGAGTTGGAAGAGACCTTGGGGACTTTCTGGTCTGGCTGGTTGATTTCTAGACAAGGAAACCGAGACCCAGGAAGGGGATGTGACCAGAATGTGGTCATAGTGTCAGAGACAGAACCAGCTCGTTGATGCCCCTCCTGTGGGACCATTACAGGCTCTAGCACTGCATCCCTACACATATGAGTGCTAGCTATGCCCCCACAGTGGGTACCCTGCATTGTACTAAGGAGGCCTGGGGTGCTATTAAGAAAATACCTTCAGGACCAGCCTGGGTAACATGGTGAAATCCCATCTCTACAAAAATATGCCAAAATTAGCTGGGTGTGGTGGCACATGCCTGTGGTCCTAGCTACTTGGGAGACTGAGGTGGGAGGATCACTTGAGCCTGGGAGGCAGAGGTTGCAGTGAACCGAAACCACACCACTGCGCTCCAGCCTGGGTGACGGAGTGAGAGACCCTGTTTCAAAAAAAAGAGAAAAGAAAAAAACCGCCATTTGTGCACAAGGGTTTTTATTGTCATTTGTTTGTTTGTTTATAAGGATTCAAGGAAAAACTCATTTCACAATCAGTATCAACATGTAGTACTTAATCTTTAAAAAACAACAACAAAACTAGCTTACAGACTTAAGAGCTTAGTTGATTTAGGTATCATAGTCTTGGCTCCTTAGTTGCCCATTGAGTATAGCTCCATCTTCTGGCAGCAAAGAGAGGTGATTTGAAGCTTAGGATTTTGAATTCTGCTCATTTCTTGAAGTGGCCTATGGTCTACAACACAAGATCTCTAACTATACAGTAATATGTTACATGTGTGTGTGTATATACATTTTTTTTACATAAACACATATATATACACGTGGATAGATAAATAACAAGATGACATATTTTGATGTTCATTTAACAAATGAGAAATCAAATCAGAAAGTATTTAACGACTTGTTCAAAGTCTTGCAGTTAGATGTATCAGAGCTAAGACGCAAGCTAATCTCTTGATTGCTTGTGCAATTCCACTAATCAGTATGCATTTCTTTTTGTGTGCACTTTTATGGATATATTTTGGTAAACTTGGTGAACTTGGTTAATGATTTTCATCAAGAACTTTTTAAAAGCACCTTTCTGGCCAGGCACGGTGGCTCATGCCTGTAATCCCAGCACTTTGGGAGGCCGAGGCAGGCTGATCACGAGGTCAAGAGATCGAGACCATCCTGGCCAACATGGTGAAACCCCGTCTCTACTAAAAATACAAAAATTAGCTGAGTGTGGTGGCGCATGCCTGTAGTTCCAGCTACTCGGGAGGCTGAGGCAGGAGAATCGCTTGAACCTAGGAGGCTGAGGTTGCATTGAGCTGAGATTGTGCCACTGCACTCCAGCCTAGTGATGGAGAGAGACTCTGTCTCATAAAAATAAATAAATAAATAAATAAATAAATAAAAACACCTTTCTGTAAAAGTTGGGCAATACAACAGTTTAGCAACTTGACTGTTCTTGGGTTCAGTGAGAGAATGAAGCGCTAATGCTTAAGACATTTATTGTCTACACTAAATTAACTTTCTCCTTTGCAGCTAGAATGGTGCTGTCTTGGAGGACTGAGAAAGTAGTCACTTGAATCATTTTCTGTGTTCTGTGGTTCAGATGAAGAGCCCCAGTTGAGGAAAAACTGGAAAGTGAGAATCTTCTACTCTAGTACTTTCTGAAGTGTTTACTCACTGGTTTGATATGTATCCCTCTAGATGTTTTACTCTGCCTGTAAGATCATTTAAATATACACACACACATTTACATACAAACAGATACCTGGATACAATGCAGTACAGACAGCAAGGTGATCCAAGAACTGGGGTGGGCCAGGTGCGGTGGCTCACACCTGTAATCCCAGCACCTTGGGAGGCTGAGGCGGGCGGATCAACTGAGGCCAGGAGTTCGAGACAGCCTGACCAATGTGGTGAAACCCTGTCTCTACTAAAAATACAAAAATTAGCTGGGCATGGTGGCACGTACCTGTAGTCCTAGCTACTCGGGAGGCTGAGAGGAGAATTGCTTGAGCCCAGGAGGTGGAGGTTGCAGTGAGCCGAGATCGTGCCACTGCACTCCAGCCTGGGTGACAGAATGAGACTCTGTCTCAAAAAAAACAAAGAACTGGGGTGACCCAGAGGAAAGGTGATTGGTGCTGCAAGCTGTGAGAAACAGCAAAGGGTTCTCAGTGGAGGTGATAGAGAAATGAGTCTTAAAGGATGAGTATTTTCGTAAGAAGACAGGAGAGTGATGAGCACACTCAGAGACGAAGGTGTGCATGGCTGGGGAGGGCGGGGTGTGCGAGACCTGCCGGGGTTCAGTAAAATGTTGGTGTGGGGCAGGGTGGAAGATGATGTGGGATGGGCAAGTAAAGACCAAGTGATAGGGGAGGGGGGCAGGGAAGTGCTTGGGAAAGGGAAAGTCATGGTCCATGCCTAGTGCTCCACCCCCAGGCCTATGTGCACAAAACTAGGTAAGGACAGGCATTTCTGTTTTTGTGCCCAAATGTTGCCTTCCCCAAGACCACCCTGGCCCACCATGTCCCCATCCTGTGCCTATAAAAACCCTGAGACCCTAGTGGGCACACACACAAATGGCTGGACATCAAGAGGAATGCACCGGCAGACCCACAGGCAGCAGAAGACACCATCAGGCCATTGACCAGCAGAAGGACGTGGAGTTTGGCTGGGGCAGTTGGAGGAGAGCCCAGCCGCTGGGCAGCATGACTCCAGGGGAAACCACCTTCCCACTCCATTCCCCTTCTGGCCTCCCCTTCCACCTCACTGAGAGCTACCACTCCATAAGAAACTTTGCACTCATTCTCCAAGCCCACGTGTGATCCGATTTTTCCGGTACACCAAGGCAAGAACCCCAGGATACAGAAAGCCCTCTGTCCTTGTGATAAGGCAGAGGGTCTAATAGAGCTGATTAACACAAGCTGCTTACAGATGGCAAAACTAAAAGAGCACCCTGTAACACATGCCCACTGGGGCTTCGGAAGCTGTAAGCATTCACCCCAGATGCTGCTGTGGGGTCGGAGGCCCACAGCCTGCCCGTCTGCATGCTCCCCTAGGATTATCAACAGCTGGCACTGAGAACGTGAGCCAGTCCCCCTGTCGCACACCCTGCAAGTGGGATAAGGGAACTTTTCCCATTTCACAAGTAACAAGTGACTTGTAAGCCATGCCAGTTGTTTGAACTTTCTCCTGTACTACAGGGAGCCAGTGCTGGATTTCATGCTAAGAAGTTTTATCAGTTCTATATTTTGGAGAGATCACTCAGGAGACAGCACGGAAAATGGATAGGAAGAGAGTGAGACCAGAGGGAGTTGGGGAGAACAATTAAGTGATTATAAACTGTGAGTGATCATCTGTGAGATAGGAATAATAATGCCTACTTTATAAGGCTGTTGCAGAATGAAATAACACCTGCCAATGTGCCTGTTTATTAAAATGAAAGGTATTACTTTTAATACCATCTGGCCAATATTTCAGTGCTATCACTGTTCTTGTGACTGACAATATCCCAATTTTCTCAGCATTATTTCCCACACTGATTATAATGTGAGAAAACAAGAATTTGACCCTAGTAAGGAGGAAATGATTTTTTTTTCAGTTTCGAAAAAACATAAGCGTTTACTTAGATAAACGGGAGGGTTTGCCAAGACATCACAATATTCTTCAAGTACTTTTGAGGCAATTCCATGCCAGGGAACCACGCCTCTCTTTTTGTGTGAATAAAATTTCAGCTTTCTGGGCTGCTTAGAGTGACAATGGTGGGTAGTGAAAGACCTGGTCCTCTATGGCCTTTGCTTGCGGAGAGAGGCCTTTCCCAGACTAGACTGTAAACCCGGAAGTGCCTGAAAAGCGGACCGGAAGCTGATTGCGGCTCGTTGACGTAACTTTCTCCTTGCACATTGCAGGGCAATCTGTGCCTCGCTATCCCCACCTCATCCTCTCTTATAATCAGTTTCACTCTTGTCTCTCCCTTCCGATTGTATTTTCTTACATCCCTTGTCTTCATCTGGCGTTCATAACCTAAGTAGGTCAATGCCCATTACTAGAGAATGGCAATAGCAAGGAAAGGCATTTTGTGGTCTTTTGCTTCCTCTGAATTACCTCATAATTGCTTCCAGGGATGCCCTGCAGATCAGTAAAATGATCGAATGGAAAAAGTGAGAAATGCTGAACTTTTTTTCTCCTCTCTTTTGTGCTTTGCTTTTTCTTTCTTTTTCTTAAATTTTCCTCATTTGCCATGGAGTTAAAAATTTGTGAATCCTTGAACTGGGGTACATGAGGCTGGAGGGGAAGATGTTACTCTCACTCCACAGAAGCACGTGTAGTCAGTAGCAGGCTGACCCTTTGGGTCCTGATGTTCCCTTACAAAGCTTGGGGGCTTTGTAACGGGGCCTGTTTGTACATTTGGTATCAGTTATTTTTTATGCATGAATTAATTTTAAAATGTTTTCTTGGCTTTTTCTGGAGTTTTCTTGCTTGGCTGTCAGTTACTATATGGACAGAAGTCTGCTTCAATGCCCATGTGCTTTTTTCCCATTCAAGTTGACTCTCTCTGCCTGGACCCACTTCCCTCTACCATTTCTGTGCATTATTGGAGATTATGGAGGCTTTCATGTAGGTTGCCATATAAACCATTTTCTCTCTGTATATAGATGTGTCAGCTCATGCTTACTTTGGGCCTGGTAAATGATAAGTGATGAAAATTAAGTTGAGTTTCTTTTTATCACCTGAAGTTGTTTTCAGTGACATTATTATGGCTTTGAATTACGCACATTTCAGGACATTTTGCTGTTTGAGAGTCAACATCCCTTATGGATGAAGATCCTCTTGGCCATACTTTGGAAAGAGTGTTGACCTCTGGGATTTCGCTGTGCTAGTTGACAGAATCTCCATTTTCCATTTGCCTATAACTGACATCTCTGCCTCTTTTCTCTGTTCAGTTGATTCTCTTTTTTGATGACACTAGCAGATATGGGCTAAGGAGAACCTCTTTCTAATTACTCTGGACTTCTCCCTATTCCTTCTGCTTTTCAACATGTCTTTTTCTGATTCTGTCTGACCCACTGGAATTTCATCTGTTAGGATGTTTACAACCGAGTATCTTGAGCACATCCACTAGATTCAAGATAATTCAACAAATCTCTGCACCCACAGAAGTGGATATTATATTGTTAATGATGGCATTAATACTTTGACTTTAGATATTCTAATTTTATAGAAATAACTGAATTTATATGAGCTCTTGGATAGTCTCATAACTTAGTTAAGTTATAGCGTAATTGCTTTAACATGGGCTAGGGAGTGAGAATAGACATAGATTGAATCTCAGCAATGACAATTATGAGTTCTGTGATCTTGGAATACTTACCTAGCCTCATGGGATCTTAGTCTCCTTCCTTATTTTCTCCTCTTTTAAAAATTGAGAAAATAATACCTACTTCATGGGCTTGTTGTTAATGGTAAATGAAATAATTAAAAATACTTAGTGCAGTCTTAACACATAGTTAACAATAAATGGTACAATAAAACAGCAATGTAAGCAAGGCCTAACAAAAGTTATAAAATTAGCTCATCACTAGGTTTAGATCTGTGACATCCCAGGGGACTGAGGAAATTGCACTTATCACAGAAGAGTCACAGCTGAAATGTTTGAGAAAACAATGTAAGAGAGGTTGTCAAAATTCCCAAACATATAAAGGGTAGAAGATGAGATCTATAGACTGGAAAGCTTGACTTCAATGCACAGCAAAATTCTGGAACAGAAAATTAAGCAGATGGTTTGTGATCATTTAGTAAAGACTGTAGTGGTTGCTAGGAGCTAACATGGGTTACTAAGAACAAATCTTCCCGAACATCCCATTTCCCTTTTAAATAGTATTATGTGGTGTGTAGAGCTGAAGAATTCTACTTCTGCAAAGCATCTAATTGTCTCCTTATGGATGGGATGGTAAAACACAGGCTAGATGATAGTACTGCTAGGTTTGCAGCTAGAGAGCAATTGAAGCCAGCTGATTAACGTCATGGTTATCTTGATGCGGGTCTCTGGTGGAATACCATGGAGCTCTGACATGTAACCTTCCATTTAAAATTTTAATTAGGAATTTGAATGAAGACACATGGGATGGATATTTACCAAGTACACAGATGGCCCAAAGTTGGGAGGGATAATAAGAGCAATAGATGAGTCAATCAACATTCAGAACACTGCTGATCATCTGAAACGCTGCATGGAATCCAGAATGATTGGATTTAATGAAGCTAAAGGTGAAGACATTAAGCTCTCACAATATCAACCCGAGTAAGAAAGGAGATTGTGGGCTGGGTTCAATGGCTCACGCCTGTAATCCCAGCACTTTGGGAGGCCGAGATGGGCGGATCACGAGGTCAGGGATGGAGACCATCCTGACTAACGCGGTGAAACCCTGTCTCTACTAAAAATACAAAAAATCAGCCGGGCATGGTGGCGGGCGCCTGTGGTCCCAGCTACCAGGGAGGCTGAGGCAGGGGAATGGCATGAACCCGGGGGGCGGAGCTTGCAGTGAGCCGAGATTGCACCACTGCACTCCAGCCTCGGAGACAGAGCAACACTCTGCCTCAAAAAAAAAAAAAGGAGATTGTGTTTGGTAGAACTTCAGATTAAAATGATCTGGTGATTTAATTGGCCCTAAACTGGATATTCAGTAATTAACTATGTGCCATGCTCTTTGTTTGGCACTGGGGTGACAGTAGTGAAACAGTCAAAAATCCCTCCCTACCTGGAGTTTATATTTTCTGTGTGCCAGTGGTTATGCATTGGCTCAAAACTACGACAATGAACTTGTTAGCTTTTATTGGTAGAAGTATAATATCCAGTTCATGTTGGTTACTAGTTCTCCTTTCCTTGTTTTTTTTGTTTGTTTGTTTTTGTTTTCGTTTTTGTTTTTGAGACAGAGTTTTGCTCTGGTTGCCCAGGCTGGAGTGCAATGGCACGATCTCAGCTCACTGCAACCTCTGCCTCGCAGGTTCAAACGATTGTCCTGCCTCAGCCTCTGAGTAGCTGGGATTACAGGCACATGCCGCCACGCCCAGCTGATTTTTGTATTTTTAGTAGGAATGGGGTTTCACCATGTTGGCCAGGCTGGTCTGGAACTCCTGACCTCAAGTGACCTGCCCACCTCGGCCTCCCAAAGTGCTGGGATTACAGGCATGAGCAACCGTGCCCGGCCTCTACTTTACTATTTAATACCGTATTCATGATACTGTATTTTACCCTGGGATCAGTATTTCCAGATCTGAATGCTAGAGTCTGGACAAATGAGTGATGATAGAGCAATGAGAAGAATATAAACCGTATTGTAGGAAGACTGGTCAGCATTGAGAAGACTAAGCAGAGGCATTATATCCCTCAAATCTGTGCAGGATATATGGGAAGAAGGTGGAAGCTAGTTCTCTGTTGGTCCTAGGAGTCATTACTAATGACCAGGAGGCTGATTTCTGGTAAGTGTGAGACAGGCTGTCTGAGAAGCGTTCTAGCTCCAGCCAGTGCATGAGTACCAGGAGGGCTGAGACTGCCTTTCTTGTGTCTCGTTCTCCACCAAATTCAGAGTACCTAGGACTGTGCCTGATACATGGCAGGCACCCAACAGATATTTATTGAATGAATAATGAAAAGAGGAAATTGAGCATGAAATGAGCCTTTGCCTGGAATAGGCCTTCATTTGGTGCTTGTGCCCTACTTCTAGGGCACAATGCATGGATAGTCGTATGGCATTTTTTGAAAATAACTCATGCACTAAAATAATGTTAAAACTTTACGTTCAGATTTTGCACATTGTAAGCAATGTGAGGGTGGAATAAAGTACCTGAGAACAGATGTGGGAGGCCAGAATAATTTTTTTTAACCATGTTTGAACAGCTCCAAGTTAATTAAACCACTTTTCTTAAGAGACATTAAGAGGCCATTTTAGGATTTATTTGAAATTTCTCAAGTATGCTTATTCAAACATTACTCATTCCAGCTCAACTCCCAGCAACTTCTTGAGACCTTCTCCATAATTCTGACCCATTCAGGGCTCTGCTTTCTCTGAACTTAAAGGCAATTCTACAGAATTTAGCATTTGATTCTTTTCTAATTTCTTCCTGAGTTTCTCTGCCTAGATGATAAGCTTTTTGATAGCAAAACTTTATTTTTTATTTTTCTTTTCTTCCAGACACATAGCAGAAACGCAGCAAATGACAATTGCTTGATTGGTTGATGGAGAGATATTAATAAAGTGTCTTTCCAGCCACTGTGAAACTGCTATTTGGGATTGTCCTTGCTGTGTGCAACACTTCTCTGGAACGCTGCAATGGATTAAAAGCAGTTTCTAGTCAGCACTCATGTAAGACATAGCAGGTTAATAGGCTTTAATTCTCTATCCCGTGTATCAAAGGAGGGGAATGTAGTCCTAATTTATTGGGGTCCGCAATGATAGCTAGGCAAGTGCTTTGTGTTATTGTTGAATCTGAATGAATGACTGGACTCTGGGGCTCAGACAGCCTTCTTGACTCAACCTCCAAGGCAAGCCAGGGCTGCAGGTGCCAATCTCTAAACCCAATTTAGAGATTGAGTGATGTAAGCAGAGTGATTAGATTTAGCACGTGAAAATACAGCATGCCCAGTTACCTCTGAATTTCAGATAAACAACCATGCAATACTTGGGACGTACTTAAACTACAAAAGTATTCACCGTTTTGCTACAGTTCAGATGTAACTGTGTGCCATGCATTTTCTCTGGCCACTCTTCATATAATCCCATTCCTCCTATTTCTCCAGAAATCTAGGCTCTTCATTAACTCTCAAATGAGCTGGACTAAAAGAAAATGTTTATGAGCATGTGATTGATTCCAATTGCAAATTAAAACAATTTTTCCAAAAAGGGAAAATCTACGTGATGCCTACTTTTTGTGGGCATATTCTTTTAGGTAGATCCAATAATGATAATGCCGTGATTTGTAGGATCTTGGTAGTCTCAAGTTAAGCTCTCTTGGTTTCCTTGGTGGCATAGTTTATTTTCATATGCTGTATGGCTGGTAGTATCTTGCTCAGACCACGTAGAAACTATGGCTGACAAATAATTAGACTCTATTCTTTGGAATCAGGTGGAAGGTGAATTTAGTATAATCTATTGTTTTAGCTCCTGCAAAACAACTGCATTAACTACTACAAGCTGTAGAATTCAAAGGAAAGCTTTACCAGTCTTTGTTAATTATCTTGTTCTCTTTCATCTCAAAAAGAAGATAATATTCTTGTTTGTTTTCCACCTTATAAACTTCTTTCGCGGGGAAGACATCACACATTTAGGAAAATGGTTTCCGTTTTTCCTAACTAAATAAGGTTTCTTGCTGTTTAGCGGCAACAGCCTTTCAATATCATTCATTCATTCAGCAAGCATTTATTCAGCAGATCTGTGCTAGGCACCAGGAGCAAACAAAATGAATAATGTAGTTCTAGCTTTCAAGAGGTTCACAAGAATCTGCGTGTTCTGTGCTTGTCTTTAAATGGTTCAGCAGTCATTTCAATGAGAGGCTTATGGTAAGAGCTAATTATCACCTTGAGTAATGAAATCATTTTTTTTTCTGTCACATGCTTTAAATAATGTCAAGCCTTACATTCTGAGCAGAAACTGCTCTTAATGGATAGTGCCAACGGCTAGAATTCGGCTGTTTCCTTCTGCCCTGGTTCTTGAGTTAGAACTTGGTTATTCAGAGTGCAGTCTGCAGATCGGCAGTACCGATATCTCCTGGGAGCTGGTTGGAAATGCAGCCTTCGAGGCCCCAAGCAAACCTGCTGACGCAGGGCCTGCAGTGGGGCCAGACCCCCAGGCGATTCATCTGCACGTTGAAGTTTGAGCAGCGCTGGTCTAACACAGTATTTCTCAAGCTCTAGTTTACACGTGTAGATTATCTGAGCATCTTATTACAATACTGATTCCTGGGCTCTGCCCTCAACTTGTGTACTCTGTGCTTGTCGTGGGGCCTGATAATTTGCATTCCTGCTAAGCTCTTTGTAGATGCTGGTGCTGCCTGTTTGAGAACCACACTTTGAGTAGCACTGATCTAGTTTGCTTGGGAAGCTGAAGTGACATTTGGTAGTGGGGTGGGGTGGGGGGACATGAACCCCAGTGAGGGAGTCAGGTTGGTTTTTTTTTTCCTTACACTGGACCCATGGACATGCCAGAGAAACTGTTCCCTGGAACATATATATTCTCCAGTGTCTCACCAGGTCTCCCTGCTCCCTGACATATGCCTGTCATGGGGGATAGATTTTCATATAATTAAGTGGTCAGGCAAGTCCGTGATGGCCACTGGGAGACAACAGAAGAGGGAATAATTCTGCCCAGTGGCTCAGCCCTCTGAGTTGGGCTCTACAAGATAATAGGTTTGGCCCATTTCTGGGATTCACATGAAGCAACAATTGTTAATCCACTCTTGCTAAACTGTAGGGTATTGAGCCTTAGGAACGAAGAGGAATGGAGATCAGGGAAGGACTGTTAGGAAATGGGTCTGGAAAAAGTCTGGGGACAACATTGTGAAGTCTGAAATCTTTTTGTTCAGGAGTTTGGATTCTGTTTTGTAACTTTTTGCTACAATGCTGTCTGTTTTGAAACATTTTCCTATCTAATCATACTCACTATTTTGTGCGTCTATTTTTTTTTTCAGGATTAAGCATGAAAATATTGTTGCCCTGGAAGACATTTATGAAAGCCCAAATCACCTGTACTTGGTCATGCAGCTGTAAGTACCTTGTTTGATTGATGAGTTTTGAACCAACTTGCAAACTCCAATGTCTAAAGGGATCAGGTGGGAAAAGAAGTGATTGAAGTGGGCCAGGTAAGGCAGTAGGGAGCAGGGAGGCCTGTGGGATACTAGAGAGGCCTGTATCCAACTAAAGACGGTGGGCTGCACACAGGCGTCTACAGGCCTCCCTTGCACCAGCCTGCACTGCTGGGCTGGACTGATAACCTAGAGCTCAGCAGTGAATGTGACCTTCCTGTTGCAGGGTGTCTGTATTGCTTTCTAATATGCCAGGGCCAAATGTGGCTGCCTGAAGACACTTCAGTGGGCCCACTGTAAGGTACACTTTGCTCCTGTCTCTAGGAGAAACTCCCACCCTTGTCATCCTTTCCAGGGATGCCGGGGGAGGGAAGCAGATGGTAACTGTGTATACCCGTTTCTTCCCTTGTATTATTCCTTTGACAGATAACAGCACATGTGACTGAAAAGGGAATTCGTGCCAGACATAAGAGAAGTATAATTGGTGTCAGACCATGACATTATCCCCCTCATTAGATTATTTTTGCATTCCATTAACACTGGAGATTACCAAAAGAGGGAAGAAATCAGAAAGCCAGATATTCAAATAAAGACTTTACTTGAAAATGCATTTTTAAAAATTTAGCTGAAATTAGCCTCCCTGCCTGCATAAATGCTTTACTCTAAGTGATAAGATTCCTAGGAATATCCCAGGGCTACATTTAGTAGAATTAACTGATAGAAACTGTGTCGGAATATTATGCTTTAACCATTACCTGAATAAATAAATGCTGGAACATCATAAGATTAAGTTTAATGACTGAGGAGATTTTTGTTGAACATTAGAATATAGACTTAATTTCATGATTTATTAATGATTTTGAGACTTTGGATTGTTGAGGGTATGGAGAATTGATGATTAGGCTCACAATTTCTTTTCCATAGATTTTTCTTTTCCTTATGAATGTTTGAACAACACATTAACTTGGGATCATGTTAGGATGCAAATAAGTGTTCATCGGTGCATTTAGTTAACCTTTCATGATCTTCAAAATATTTTTGTAGGTTATGATATTTTTGTATAAATATTTTAAAGCTGTCTATGCCAGAAGCATATGTATGATTTCTCTCTGTCAAATGGCAGTTCCAGGTGGTGACTAGCAGTTTTAGAGATTTGTATGTTATAGTCAGCCATGGTATAAGTCAAAGAAGTTTTTTTACTTCTTGGTTACCATGTTAACTCGAGTTACCTTTTCTAGTTCCTTGTTCTTCTGTTTGCGTTACACTTTGCCGTATTTCTGGTTTTTCCTAGAGAGAGCTAGTTCTCCCCAAATTTGGGAGCATGCCCTAGAAGTTCATGTGACTTTGCTTTATGCAATTTCTGCTCTATAAAGATGCAAGCACATCACTTTCTCATCAAATATTATTGCCTAATTGGAAGATTATGAGATTTCAGTGGCAACCAAATGCCCCGCAAAATGTTAGCTGTGTATTTAAATGTGTGTTTTTTCATTGGTAATGCAAAAACTACTAATCCTCAATCTAAAGCTATATGGATCTACTTGTTTAAGTTTTGTGTTTATGGGACTATAACCAAATATCAGTTAAAGCACCTCAAATGTGTCAACCTCAGCTCTGCCTCTTTCTAGCCAGGGGAACTAGGGCAAATAACTGGGCTCTGAGTATCAGTTTCGATAATGGGAAAATGGGGATAATAATATTTTCATTAGAGGATTATAGTGATAGTGAAGGAGAAAAGTGTAGGAAGTAATCTCACAATATTAGGTCTTCAGTACACGTGGTTTCTCTATGGATATCTGTATCATTTCATCACTATGCCTCTACAGATGGTCTTTAATTTTATGAGATAAAGTTCAAGTCGATTTAGAATTTGCCTTTCTAAGCAACTTGGGGTTGTATACTACCAACAAAAGTTATCGCAAATATGGGTTGACATAAAAACATAAAAATGTCTGGAACAAAACCAACCTCAGAACAAAGCCTGGAAGTCATATGAGGACACTGCTATCCCTGCCCTTCCCTGAGCTTTTTCTGTCAAGGAATTCCTCTTTCTTTTGTGTTAAGAAAAAAAAAACAAAAAACAAAAAACAAAACCTCATTGGCCCGGCATGGTGGCTCACGCCTGCAATCCCAGCACTTTGGGAGTTCGAGGCTGGCAGATCATTTAAAGTCAGGAGTTCGAGACCAGCCTGGCCAACATGGTGAAACCCCATCTCTACTAAAAATGTAAAAATTAGCTGGGCATGGTGGTGGGCACCTGCAGTCACATCTACTCAGGAGGCTGAGGCAGGAAAATCTCTTGAGCCTGGGAGGTGGAGGTTGCAATGAGCTGAGATTGTGCCACTGTACTCCAGCCTGGGCGACAGGGCAAGACTCTGTCTCGAAACAAACAAAAAAACCCCACAAAAAACCACGTCGTTAATATGGGGCACACTCATTAAGAATTTTTAGTAATTCAGAGAGGAATTAGGGTGGGATTAACTGTTGGGGGACATCGTATGAGATTTGTCGAGCAAATTAATCACAAAATCCAGTTTAGAGGCAATGAATGTTTGAATTACCTAAGGAAAAAAAATTTGCGCAGTAGTTCAGAAGGTTTATTTATATAAAAAATTAGATATGCTAATTTAAAAAATGTTAAATTGTATCCTTTTTTATTGGTTCTCATTATACCAATCAACTTTATTGGGGTATCATTTACATACGAGTCACTGTATCCATTTAAATGGACACTTCAGTGATGAACGTGAGAGAATCATACCCTTAAAGCCACCACCACTGTCAAGAGACAGAAAATTTCCATGCCACTCAAGACCCCTTCGACCCCTTCAAAGTCTTCTCTTCCTCATTCATGACCCTAGTCAACCAGTGACCTACTTTACTTATGAGAGATTATTTTATATTTTATAAAATATCATATAAATTGACTTATATAGTATGTACCTTTTGTGTCTGGCTTATTTCACTCATCATTATTTTGACATTCATCCATGTAGCATGTCTCAGTGGTTCATTCCTTTTTATTGCTGAGTAGTATTCCATTATTTTATGAATATTCCTCATGTTTTAAACTTTTGTATTTATAGACACTTGGGTGGTGCCCAGTTGGCGGACTCTATCGAGTGAAGTTGCTGTGAACGTTCACGTACAGGTCTTTGTGTGCATGCATGTTTGAGTAAAGACCTAGGAGTGGAATGAATGGGTCATATGGTAGATGTTGCGTTCAACTTTTTAATAAACCGTCTGACAGTTTTCCAAAGTGGTTGTACCGTTTTGCTTTTTTTTTTTTTTTTTTTGGCCAGCGGTATGTGTCAGTTCCTGTTGCTCTACATTCTTGCTAGCCCTTGAGATTTTCACTTTTAGCCATTCTAATGGGGTGTAGTGATATCACAGGGTGGTTTTAATTTGCATGTCTCGATGATGAATCATGTTGATCATTTTTTTATGCCCCGATTGGCCACTTGTATATCTTCTTTTATGAAGTGTCTGTTCAGATCTTTCGCTCAATCTTTATTGGATTATCATCACATTCTTGGGTTGAAAGTGTTCTTTATATAGTCCATACTTTGTCAGATACATGTAATATGAATATTTTCTTCCATTTTGTAGCTTGTGTTGCTGTTTTTTTAATGGCACCTTTTAAAAAAATTCATGGAAATCTGATTTACATACTACACAATTCACCCATAAAGTGTACAATGAAATTTTTTTTTTTTTGAGACGGATTCTCACTCTTTTGCCCAGGCGGAGTGCAATGGCGTGATCTTGGCTCACTGCAACCTCTGCCTCCCGGGTTCAAGCGATTCTCCTAGCTCAGCCTCCAGAGTAGCTGGGATTGTGGGCACCTGCCACCATGCCCAGCTATTTTTTGTATTTTTTAGTAGAGATGGGGTTTCACCTTGTTGGTCAGGCTGGTCTTGAACTCCTGACCTCAGGTGATCCACCCACCTCAGCTTCCCAAAGTGCTGGGATTACAGGTGTGAGCCACCGTGCCCAGCCCGAAATGTTTTTTGTTATAGTCACAAGGTTATGCATCCATCACTACAACCTAATTTTAGGACATTTTTGTCCCTCTAAAAGAAACCCTGTACTCATTAGCAATCACTGTCAATTCCTCCCTCCCTTAGTCTCTTGCAACTACTTATCTTTGGTCCCTATGGATTTGCCTGTTTTAGACTTTTCATATGAATGGAATTATACAACATGTGATCTTTCGTGACTAGATTCTCTCTCTCAGCTTATTGATTACAAGATTAATCCATATTGTATCATGTATCAGTACTTCATTCCTTTTTATTACCAAATAATATTTTATTATCTGGATATATCACATTTTGTTTCTCTGTTTTTCAGTTGATGGACATTTAGGTTGTCTCACTTTTTGGCTAATATGAATAATGATGCAGGCATTTTCATGTACAGCTTCTTTTGTGGACTTGCTTTCATTTCCCTTGGGTATATACCTAGGAGTGAAATTGCCGGGTCGAATGATAGCTCTTTTTTTTTTTTTAACATTTTGAGAACTCATCAAACTATTTTCCAAAATGACTGTACCATTTTACAATCCCATGAGCAACGTATGGGGATTCCAACTTCTCTACATCCTTATTAACACTTACTCTCTGTCTTTTTGACGATAGCCATCCTGTGGGTGTGAAGTGGCATCTCAAGATTTCGGTTTGTATTTTCCTGATAACTAACGATTTTGAACATCTTTTCCCATGTTAGCCACTTACATATCTTCTTTGGAGATATGTATATATATATATATGGAGATATATATATACACGTATACACACACACATATATATATTAAAATCCTTTATCCTTTGTAAAATTAATTTGTCTTTTATTGTTGTAAGACTGCTTTATATATTTTATATACAAATATCTTACCAGACATGATTTGCAAATGTATTCCCCTATTCTGTAGATTGTCTTTCTACTTTCTTGATAGTTTCATTTACAGCACAAAAGTTTTTTAACTTTGAGTTGGTCTGCTTTATTTTTTCTTTTGTTGCTTATGTTTTTGGTGTTATACTAAGAAGTTATCACCTAATTCTTTTTTTTTTTTTTTTTTTTTTAAGATGGAGTCTCAGTCTGTCGCCCAGGCTGGAGTGCAGTGGCGTGATCTTGGCTCACTGCAAGCTGTGCCTCTCCGGTTCATGCCATTCTCCTGCCCCAGCCTCCCGAGTAGCTGGGACTACAGGCACCCGCCACCACGCCTGGCTAATTTTTTGTATTTTTAGTAGAGATGGGGTTTCACCATGTTGGCCAGGATGGTCTTGATCTCCTGACCTCGTGATCTGCCTGCCGCGGCCTCCCAAAATGCTGGGATTACAAGCGTGAGCCACCTCGCCGGGCCACTGTCACCTAATTCTTAATGGTACCTTTTGAATAAGGAAAGTTTTAGTGGGGATGATGTTCATTTTTTTTAATGGCTTGTGCTTTTTGTGTCCTGTGTTAAAAGTCTTTACCTATGCAAATAATGTTTTCCTCTGGACGTTACATAATTTTAGCTTTTGCCTTCTTTTTTTGAGATGGTGTCTCACTCTGTCGCCGAGGCCTGAGTACAGTGGTGCAATCTCGGCTCACTGCAACCTCTGCCTCCCGGGTTCAAGTGAGTCTCCTGCCTCAGCTTCCCAAGTAGCTGGGATTACAGGCATGCACCACCACGCCTAGATAATTTTTTTGTATTTTTCGTAGAGACAGGGTTTCACCATGTTGGCCAGGCTGGTCCTGAACTCCTGACCTCAAGTGATCCACCCACCTCAGCCTCCCAAGGTGCTGGGATTACAGACGTGAGCCACTGTGCCGGGTCAGCTTTTCTACCTAGGTATATTTCATGATCAATTTCAGGTTAATTTTATATATATAGTATGAAGTAATGACAATATTCATTTTTGTCATAGGGCTATCCAGTTTTCAGCATCATTTGTTGTAAGTTCTCCAACTTTAGTTTTTTTATTTATTTGTTTTTTCCTTAAAATAGCTTTGGCTATTCTAGAGTATTTGTATTTTCATGTAAGTTTTAGAATAGGCTTGCCTTTTTTTTTTTTTTTTTTTAGTCAGAGTTTTGCTTTATTGTCCAGGCTCTGATGCAGTGGCACGATATTGGCTCACTGCAACTTCCGCCTCCCGGGTTCAAGCAATTCTTGTGCCTCAGCCTCCTGAGTAGCTGGGATTACAGGTGCCCAGGTCATTTTCTATAGTTGAGTACAGGTTTGGTTTCACCATCTTGCCCAGGCTGGTCTCGAATGCCTGAGCTCAGGCAATCCTCCTGTCTCGGCCTCCCAAAGTGCTAAGATTATAGGTGTGAGCCACCGTGCCCGGCTGCCTTTTTTAATGCTTGTGGGAATTTTGTTTGAGCTTACGTTGAATCTGTTTACCAATTTGAGGACAATTGACAGCTTAAAACATGTAGCCTTTTGATTAATAAACGTAAGTGTTTTCATTTTATTTAGGTTTTTTATTGCTCTCAGTGACATTTTATAGTTTTCAGGATGTAGGTCTTCATATACTTGTTCAATTTATTCTGAAATATTTTTTATTCTATTTTCAATGGATCTTTATTTCATTTTTCCAGTTGCTTGCTGCTGCTAGCATATAAAAATATAATTGATTTTTGTGCATTAGCCTCTGATCTTGCTAAACTCACTTACTAGTTCCAGTGTTGTTTTGTGGATTTCTTACCATTTTCTATCTCAATAATCATGTCGTCTGAAATTTACATTAATTCTAGTTAGTCCCTGAAGGAATCCTATTTGGTAAAACTTTGATAGTTTAGTTCTAAGTATTAGGTGTATTTTAATAGCATAATAATATGTCTTAAAATATTTTGTGTTAGACATTTTGAAAATTCAAATTAGCCTCTCTTATTCCCTTTTTGCCTCCATTAGTTATCCAAATGAGTATAAAAAGAAAAAAGCAATGACAGAAAGCCCTGGATATATCAGAATTAACACTACTGGGAAAGTCTGTGGTTTGGTTTGAGGATTTTGTAGCCTGTATTATTTTTGGTTGTTGTATTTTTTGTTTTTGTTTGGCAAGGCTCAGTGGTTTACGCTCCTGAGAATCCATCTGTTTTTCTTTTTTTATTAAATTTTTTTTTCAGTAGTTGGGCTCTCTCTCTGTCACCCAGGCTGGAGGGCACTGGCGTGATCATATATCACTGCAGCCTCCAACTCCTGGGCTCAAGCGATTCTTCCACCTTAGCATCCTGAGTAGCTGGGACTGCAGGCATGTGCCACCATGCCTGGCTAATTACTTTTACTTTTGTAGAGATGGGTCTTGCTGTGTTGTCCAGGCTGATCTCAAACCCCTGACCTCAAGCAATCCTCCCAGTCTCCCAAAGTGTTGGGATATGTGAGCCACTGCTCCTGGCCCCCATCTTTTCTGTCTGGGTCAGTGAGAAAGTGGAAAGAGTTTTTGTTTTTATTTTGTTTTTGTTTGACTAAAGAGCTAAGAAAGTCTTTAGCTTCTAAATATATGAGGAGGATCTAAAACACAACATTTTGGAGGACTGTATTTTACAATGTTTGTGCCTCGGAAAGTTTTAGTTTCCTAGGAAACAGCATCGTGGGCACTGAGATACAACAGGGGATGCTCAGCACCTTAATATTATTACCTGTCTAATTGCTATTTCAATTCTGAGTATTGCAGTAGATTTGTTCCTGTACTGCTGCAGCAAGAGTCTTAATTGTTTCCAGGAGTCTATATTTAAATTTTATTTGGGTTTTTGGAAAAATGCTTTTTTTTTTTTTTTTTTCAGAATTCTGTTTTTGGAACATTCTGCTTTAGATAGTAGGAAGTCATTATGACATAGGGAGAAGTGATAGATGGAAAGTCAGTTCGTTTGGAATTTATTTCTCATCTGACTTGACTTGTAGAATATTAATCCAGGGTCAGGCGCGGTGGCTCACGCCTGTAATCCCAGCACTTTGGGAGGCTGAGGCGGGTGGATCACGAGGTCAGGAGTTCAAGACTAGCCTGGCCAAGATGGTGAAACCCCGTCTCTACTAAAAATACAAAAATTAGCTCGGTGTGATGGCAGGTGCCTGTAATCCCAGCTACTCAGGAGGCTGAGGCAGGGAATTGCTTAAACCTGGGAGGTGGAGGTTGCAGTAAGCTGAGATCACACCACTGCACTCCAGCCTGGGCGACAGAGCGAGACTCCATCTCAAAAAAAAAAAAAAAAAAAAGAACATTAGTCCATATATTCGGAGATAAGAAAGGACACTGCCTCAACTCCTCCCCCTTTACAAGTGTAACAACTTAGGAAGTAAAATAAACTTCAGGCTGATACAATGCAAAGGATAAATCAGAAATATTTTTAAAAAGAAATAGATTATATTGCTGTGGAATAAGAACATATTTCCAGTAAGACTTCTATTTCCATATGTGGGTAACTCCTCAATTTGTATCTCCAGCCTGGAGCCCTGTCCAGAACTCTAAGCTTGTATATCCAACTGTCTTCTCAGCAGTTCCATTTGGCCAGGTAATAAGCATCACTCACATACCAGATCCAAAATAAACTCTTGAATTTTCCACAAAATCTGCTTCTCCTGCTGTCTATCTCATCTTAGCAAATGGCAACTCCATTCTTCCAGTTGCCCAGGCCAAAAATCTGGAGTCATCCTTGACTTATCCTTTTCTCTTATACCCAACAATCCCATCCCTTGGCAAATCCTGTGGCCACCAGCTTCAGAATTTACAACAAACACAACCACTTTTCCTCGTCTCTATACCTACCACTCTTTTCCAAACCACCATATAAAACATCTTTCTTCCCCCAGTCCTACCCCACTGTGCTGTTCTTTTTTAGTGTGTTAGTCAGATCTTATCACGCCTTTGTTGAAAAACTCCCATTGGCTTCTCATCTTCGAGTCAAAGACAAAGTCATTATGGTGGCCTCCAGGGACCTATGTGTCCTGGCTCCTGGAAACCTCTCTGACTTCCTGTCCCACCTTTCTTTCGTTCAGCTGCAGCCTGTCTGGCTTCCTTGCAATTCCTCAAACATACCAGGCCAGTACTGCCACAGGGCCCTTGTTTCTGATATTCTTTCTGCTGGAATCGCTTATCTTTTTTTATGTTTTGTTTGTTTGTTTGTTTGTTTGTTTTGAGAAGGAGTTTTGCTCTTGTTGCCCAGGCTGGAGTGCAATGGCGCGATCTCGGCTCACCACAACCTCTGCCTCCCGGGTTCAAGCGATTCTCCTGTCTCAGCCTCCTGAGTAGCTGGGATTACAGGCACCTGCCACTACGCCTGGCTAATTTTTGGTGTTTTTAGTAGAGACAGGGTTTCACCGTGTTGGCCTGGCTGGTCTCTAATTCCTGACCTCAGGTGATCCTCTTGCCTCTACCTCCCAGAGTGCTGGGATTACAGGCGTTAGCCACCACGCCCAGCCAGAATCACTTATCTTAATGCTATCATGGAATAACGGAAATATGAGAATTTCTGCCAAATGTCACCTGTTCACTGACATATACCCCAAGCTCTCCTGTATAAAATAGCAACTCCCGCCACCACCTCGTGACACACATACATTAATTCCTTATCCCTCTCCCCAACTTTCTTTCTCTCTGTAGCACTTGTCACCATCAGAAAAGTTGTCTCTGCCTGTTGTCTGCTGGAACAGTGCTTTCACGTTATGCTAGGCGCTTAACAAATGCTTAACTGATATGATCACCTGGGAATGTAATAATGGTTAGCATATCTCTTTACTCATTTAGTCCTTACAGTAAACTCAGGAGTTACTGTGATCCCAGTTTTCAATGAGGAACCTGAGCAGAGAGGTTGGATCATTTACCCAAATCAGTGAGCAACCCAGTGTATGCCCTTGACCAGCCTAATATGATACACTGATAGCATTTTCTAGGAAAAAAAGAACTTCGTAGGTACCATTAATGTGAATGGTTCAGTTTACCTGGAAAATGATATTCGTTATGATTCAAGAAGTATTTAAAAAGCAGAGCTCACCAGAAAATATCCTATATTTTGTGGTGGTTTGTGAGGGGGAGTAAAGTTTACTCAGCAGTATCACAGGAATTCACTAGAACAATCTTGTTCCATTTACTACAATCATTATGTTTATTTCTTATATAATTTTTTACCAATGTTGTGAGTTTTTTACCAGTGTTGTGATTTCCTGCTGAGCTTGAAAAGCTAAGGACAAAACACCCATTCTTTAAAGAATATTAATTTGGTTCCTGGTACCCCCAAGGCATGAAAATAGATCAGCCTCCAAGAGAAAATATGGTCTCTGTACTCTGTTGTCTTGTGCAGTAAGCTGTTTGCACAGTTCCCTGTTTGTGGGGGTCACCGCTGTTAGCTGTCGTGTGGATATTGTATTCATAATTCATAGTCTGTGTTCCCAGAAACAGTTTTAATTAGAACACAAATTATGACTCCCAATAGAAAGCCTTCTGTAAGTAGCCAAGCATAATAACGAAGAAAAAAATGTTTCCGAATATGACACCTTAATATATTTATATATAAATTACCAAAATCTTATCTTTGTTCACAGCAGATACTAATTGAACACCTAACAGGCCTGTGGTTTCTGCTGTTTAGCATTGCGGGGGTGGGAAGGGGCTTGGGGGATACAGACAAGACACAATCGATGCTCCTCAGTAGTGCTCCTTATAGAGAGGAGAGATTATAACCCTCGGAGGTTGCTTTCGTGAGGACAGTGCAGGGCACTCTGGGAGGAGACACCTTAAATGGAGGGTGATTAAGAGTCAGCCAGATGGAGGTGCTGCCACGAGATAGGTAGCTGGGCTCCAGGCAGAAGGGCAGGTACCACTAGAAGGGTTAGGGAGCCTGGGAGGGAAGAAGAGTCTGTGAGGGGCTCAGTCTATGAGGGGCTTTGTCTGAGAGGAGGGCTGAGTCTATGAGGGACTTTGTAAGGAGAGCTCAGTCTGTGAGGGTTTGGTCTGTGAGGGATTTAATCCATGAGTGGTTTTGTCCTGTAGGAGTTCAGTCTGGCTGGGGTCAGTGGTAATGTGACATCTTGGTGGGAGTTATGGCTGGAGATGCCAGCAGAAGCTAACTCAATACCTCTGGTTGCTACTGCTGCTGCTTTGTCCTTCTCCGGACTAACGATTGAATATGCTTTGTTCTTTATTTTTTCTGCCACTGGAAAACCTGCTGATACATAAAAGATTTAGAGAGTTAAGAAGATAAAGAAAAAAAAAGGCATAATCTGGAGCCAGTCTTACTAGGTTCAACTGTATGAAGTTGCCAGTACATAATCATGTTTTTCAAGGTCTTCTTTTTTAATGTAAGCATTTATAGCTATAAATTTTCCTCTTAGCACTGCTTTTGTAGCATTCCATACATTTTGGTATGTTGTGTTTTTATTTATCTTAAGATATTTTCCCTTGTGATTTCTTCTTTGACCCAGTGGTTGTTTAATAGTATGTTAATTTCTGTCTGTCCCTGAATTGTTTAGTTTTCCTTCTACAGTTGATTTCTAGTTTCCTTTTATTGTGATTGGAAAGATACTTTGTATGATTTCAGTCTTTTAAATTTTATTGACACTATTTTGTGGCCTAACATATGGTCTACCCTGGAGAATATTCCACACGAACTTGAGAACAATGTGTATTTTCCTGTTGTTGGATGAAGTGCTCTGCATATATCTGTTAGGTCCAGTTGTTCTCCAGTGTCATGCAGGTCTTCTGCTTCCTCACTGGTCTTATGTTTGGTTGTTCCATCCATTATTGAAAGTGGGGTATTGAAGTCTTGTAGAGCTATTTCTCCCTTCAGTTCTGTTGATGTCTGCTTCATATATTTTGGAGCGCCAATGTTTGGTGCATGTATGGTTATATTTGTTACGTCTACTTGGTGAATTAACACTTTTATCATTATATAATATCCTTCCTTGTCTCTTATAACAGTTTTTGACTTTTTATAATCATGTTTTTAATCCAATAATTTTTTTTTTGAGACAGAGTCTCACACTGTCACCCAGGCTGCATCTTGGCTTGCTGCAACCTCCGCCTCCCAGGTTCGAGTGATTCTCCTGCCTCAGACTCTCGAGTAGCTGAGATTACAAGCATGCACCATCATGCCCAGCTAATTTTTGTATTTTTAGTAGAGACAGGGTTTCACCATGTTGGCCAGGTTGGTCTCGAACTGCTGACCTCGTGATCTGCCTGCCTCAGTCTCCCAAAGTGCTGGGATTACAGATGTGAGCCACCGCACCCGGTCCAATAATTTTTGACTTAAACATTTTCACACTACTTTTCTAAATACCATCTTACGCATTTTAGCCAATATGAGTGACAGTCAACATCTTTCATCAAATATCTAATAAGTTCTTTAAGTATGTACAGTTTAAAAATTCCATACATTATATGAACAATTGTAACCTTTTTGAAAAGTTAGATCTGGTCGCTAATACTCAAATTTAAGAAGTCATAGAAAGTACATTAAGAGTCTGTTCATCCTTAGAATATAAAGCATCAATTTCAGAAACTATCCGTTTATTTACTTATACATTTATTTGATTTAAGGATATATGTAATGTCACAAAGTCAGTAAGATGGGGCTAGTAAAATATATTAAAAAAATACGGATAGTATCACCATGGACTTCATTGCTTCTGACTCCCTAGTAGATAAAAACTTGGGGCTTATAAAAAGAGCACCTACACACGAATAAATTTCAGAATATATCAGATTAGGCATTCTAGTTTGAGATGTGCTTGAGTTGCATTTCTGTTTGATGACTTATTAAAGAAACAGCACTCTGCCCCAACCAAACTAATTTCCTCATGCCCTGCAAGTGCAGTGTATCCATTCCTGCTTTGGGTTTTCTCTCATGTCTCCCAATTTCCATAATGCTCCTTCTATTCCTTTCAGTCATCTAGAATCTCTCTTTTCTTTTGCAGCACCACGACGGACTAAATCCCTCATAATCCGACCCAGGCTTCTGAATACCCATCTGCCTGGAGCACAGTCCCGCCCAGCACCCGGGCATATCCCCCTGGCTAATTCTCCATCATCCTCTCCTCAAGGGTGTCTGCTCCACCAGGGCTTTCCCTGTGATACCAAAGCATGCTGCATAATCCCCAAGGAAAGCAATCATTGCGAGTTACAGTGGCTCCTCTCTAAAATGTAAGCTACACATCCTCTCTCATCCCAGAAGCCCCAGCCACAGAAATTTTCTCTTTCCTAAAATTCTGTAACATCTTAAATCTGTACTAATCATTACACATCATCATATTCATTCATTCACTCAACAAGTATTTATGGAGTCCCCACCATGGGAGAGATGAGGCTAGAGGTGTAAACTTCCTAGTGTTCCCGTTTGGAAGATTTTTGCCAGGCACCTGGAAAGAGATTTGGGGGAGATCTTGCAGAGTTTATATAGGAAATTAATTTAGGAATGTTGTTAATTGGTAAGAGCATTGAATGGACTGGAGTAGAGAGCCACAGAGTCTAGGCTTCCATTTGCTTCTCATGAGGTCTATGATAGCTCAGCGCCTGGTCTCTCTGGGTCTACCCAAAAAGTAGAGGGTTTTTAGTTGTTGTTTGTTTGTTTTAAATAGGCCTAAGGTTTCAGGTCTAAAATTCTGTGGTCTCGTGTTGTTGTTGTCCCCATTTTCTGAGTGTTAATCTCCATGAAACAAGCACAGATGTTAGAAATCCAGTTGTGTTTGCTGTTTGCTAGCAAAGTCTGTTTCCTGAGATGATATTTCCAAAACCGGATCTCATCTCTTTGAATCCTTGGAGGTTTATGAATAACGCATGTTGGTGATGATGCTGGCGTGGCAGCCCCAATGAATGTATGAAATTTGATGTTTCCCACGAGGAAGAAGGGGAGTGGCTGGGATTATTGAAAGGCTCTCTGGTTCTGGGTTTGAAGGAAGCATTTAGAATTCTGCTAGATCCCCTTTTGCTACATCCGGATGATTAATTTTACATCCTAAATCCTTGCTCGTGATTGCTTGCACCCAGGAATTCAAGGTTACAGTGAGCTATGATGGCACCACTTCATTCCAGCCTGGGTGACAGAGTGAGACCATGTCTCAAAAAAAAAAAAAAAAATCTTTACTCCACTGTAGCTCAGGCCTCACGCTCTGTTCCTGGCCTGCCTTCCTTGTTTCTGCCCCTCCTGACCTCTGACCACTTAACTTTCTTACATTGACGGCTTTGGTGGTCGACTCATAGATTTCAGCTCCTTCCCCAGCTCTGCAGCCAGGAGGATCACTATGTCAGTGTCCACAGGACAACCCACATCATAACCTCCTGTGTCCTTGACCATTTTCTCTCCTAAAACTCCGTGGTTAAGCAGCACAGCCCCACGGCCACGCTCTAGAGTGGTGTTCCCCAGAGCTGCTACGGCTCTATCATCCTGATCGCCACCACTCCGTGTCTGCCCTCAGCCTTGTTGACAACAACCCCTTAATTTCTTATTTTGATGCTTGTTCTCTGATGCTTTGAGAACTGCTAGTGCCTGCCCCAATCCTGGGCTTCCCTATCTAGCCAAATCCCTTCCAGCCTCCCCATGATCACTCTCCTGCTGGCATGGTTCCTTCTTTGCCTGCTGCATTCACTCTGCAGATGCAACACCTGACCGCAGCGCAGCTGCCTGCAGCCTCCGCTCCTGCAGCAGGGCTGCTGGGTCCCGTGGAGGAAACCACATTGTCGGATGAGTGGCAGCTGCTGAAAACTGAATGAAATGAAATCTCAGCCCATTCCTCAGCAGCATTCTGCTCTCTTCTGCTGTGGTCCTAGTTAGATGTTCTTTTCTCTTTTATTTCATTTATTCCAAATATTTATTATGCATTCTAAGCTAACTGCCCCATAGTCTTTGAAGAAGTACACTGGAAGTCAGTTTAGGCAGACTAACATGGTATCAAACTTATTTGTCAACAAATACCCCATATTTTGGTATGTTGGTTAAAAAACAGTTGGAAATCTTTAATCAAAGTATTCAGCAAATTAAATGCCCCAAACAGTACATTTTGAAGTTTGTAGCAAATAGTAATTATTGAAAACAAAACTTGAAATATATTCCTACAAAAGAAAGAAAGAAAACAAATTAAATGATGAGAGCTTAAATGATGTATAAGAGTTAGTTGGCTGGGTGCGGTGGCTCACGCCTGTAATCCCAGCACTTTGGGAGGCCCAGGTGGGCAGATCACGAGGTCAGGAGATCGAGACCATCCTGGCTAACACGGTGAAACCCCGTCTCTACTAAAAAATACAAAACATTAGGCAGGCGTGGTGTTGGGTGCCTGTAGTCCCAACTACTCAGGAGGCTGAGGCAGGAGAATGGCGTGAACCCGGGAGGCGGAGCTTGCAGTGAGCCGAGATCGCGTCACTGCACTCCAGCCTGGGCGACAGAGTGAGACTCCATCTCAAAAACAAAACAAAACAAAACAAAAAAAAGTTAGTTTTGACATTCTGTGATTGTGTCTTCTGGAAAGTGTCTTTGTGGCGCCCCTATTTTTAATTGGATAATTGTATATCTGTACAGCAATGGAAAGAGATTGAAAAGGCTGATTATTTTGCAGTATCCAAATTTGGGGAAATATTAAATCATTAATTGGAGAAGGTTTATGTTATAAAATTATTTACTTGTCAAAAGGTAGCAAAATAATCATACCTATAAAAATATTTTGAAGGCTGAACTACTTATATACTTGGATTAAAAATTTACAATTCAGAATTTGCTCATTTAGCAAGATTTGCTGTGAATATAGATATTGCAGCAGTTGTAGAGAGAGTATTTTCCAAGTTAAAAATATTATGATCAGTAGAAAAGAATCAATTGAAGAAGGTGTGGACAATTTAAAACTTAGTAATCATCAAATGCAACTTTGAAGAAGACTGAAGACAGTTTTATGAAAAAATAAAAATAATACATGTTAAAAAATGAATTTCCCAGATACGGGTTTAGAAACATATAAATTAAAAATTTGATTGGCCAAAACTAACTATTCTGCTTATGTTATTTTCTGATATTTACTTAGTCAACACAAAGAAGTTAAATTTTTTTTTGCTTTAACAGAAAGTTATTTTAATCTTTGGAAAATTTCTATTTTTAAAAATAGTGATTAAGTAAGATTCTTTTTTTTTTTGGAGATGGAGTGTCTCTATCTCCTAGGCTGGAATGCAATGGTGCAATCTCGGCTCACTGCAACCTCTGCCTCCCAGGTTCAGGCGATTCTCCTGCCTCAGCCTCCCGAGTAGCTGGGATTACAGGTGCATGCCACCTCACCCAGCTAATTTTTTTTTTTTTTTTGAGATGGAGTCTCGCTTTGTTGCCCAGGCTGGAGTGCGGTGGCGTGATCTCAGCTCACCACAACCTCCGCCTCCCCAGTTGAAGTGTTTCTCTTGCCTCAGCCTCCCGAGTAGCTGGGACTACAGGTGCGCACCACCACGCCCAGCTGATTTTTGTATTTTTAGTAGAGATGGGGTTTCGCCATATTGGCCAAGCTGGTCTCAAACTCCTGACTTAGGTGATTCGCCCTCCTTGGTCTCCCAAAGTGCTAGGATTACAGGTGTAAGCCACTGCACCTGGCCATAAAATTCTTTTTATAAGCCTACCAATATGATAAAAACCAATTTATCAATTCATAAATTAAAATTTTAGATATATGGTGCTAACTTCAGTGGCACTTTTTACTCTCAAGATGGACCGATGGATAATGTTACACTTGTTCTGTGATAGCCCTTCCTGTCTTTTTTCACTGTGCTCCTTATGTGGTTTTTATCATGATTTATTTTGCTCTCATTTAGTCTGTCTCTTCTGACTATGAGCTTCTTGAAAACAGGATCATTGTTTTAGTAATTTCGCATCCTTAAGGCCGAAGATGCACAATGCCTGGTACATAATAGGTTCATAATAAATTATGAAGTAAATGAATTTAGGAATCCAGGTGTGTGTGTGTGTGTGTGTGTGTGTGTGTGTGTGTGTGTGTAACATGGACTAATCTATAAGTACAATTTTTAAATTCAACATTATACCTTTATTTTCATCAACCCCTCCAATAACCACTTATTCAGACCCCTAGTGACTAAGCAAATGAGACTGAAAACATTTCAGGGCAACTAGACATGTTATTTTTCACTCATCATAGATGCATGAGTGCACTCTGAAAATGATGAGGTTTCATTGCATACAAATGTGACATTTAATGTCGTTAAAACATACAAATTAGGCCGTAAGGAATAGCAAAAATGAAGGACAGGGTATTTCTTGTCTTTGAGAGTAGTGATGTGTACAGACATCACTAGTATACACTTGCTACAGAGCCCAGCGGCCAGTTTGTGCTGCTTAAGACAAGTCAGAGAGGCCTGTGTGCAGGGACCCGGTTGCAGTGGTGTTTTCTAATAGTTAGCATTTTAAGAAGCTAACATTCTTCCTGGAACAGAGGAGAACTTTGAGTTTTGTGACATTGAGAACTTTGATGTTTTCGGTGGATGGATCAGTGATATCCAACGGCGTCTCTGTAGGGTCAGATGTGCTAAGAAAGGAGAGAAACTGTGTTGGGTCAGAGAAGGGGGTATCTCGGAAGTAGCCACAACCAGGATATTTTCTGCTGAATTATGCCAAGTCGTTTGGAAGAACAGGCTCCAGGTATTTTAGGTTATAAGCCCTTGGTTAGGCTCCTCAAAGAAGATAACTAATTTAAAAAAAAATGTATTCCTCAATATAGTAGAAGATGATCAATTCATGATCTAAATACTAAAAGGCATCCAAATCGTGGGACTGTTTTAACATAATTTTTAAGTGATCACTTATTTTTAAAAAATCACATCACAGTATGAATTGAACAAGTTCCTATAGCCGTGGTTGGTAAAGACAATGTGACTGGTCAGCTTCTTGTGTAAATATATATTATACATCCCTATTTGTAATTCTTGTAATGAAAAGAAAACACTAAGAGAATATATTCAGAAGATGTTGGGAGTTTGGCCAATTTTTTTTTTTATCATGGTGCTATTTATTTAGTGTCAAGATCTTTAAACTCTAGAAACAAAGTTTACTGTATAAAACAGGCAAACATTTATCCAGGGTGGTTCATATATAATGCTCCAACTAGAATTGGAGGAGAACAGCTGCCTCCTGAGAGTTCAACAAGGTCTGTAAGCAGATAATGTTTTTCAAAGGTTCCTAGAGTTAAGCCTTGTTTTCCAAAGGTCTTTAACAACAGCCATTACTGGCTGGGCGCGGTGGCTCACGCCAACACTTTGGGAGGCCGAGGTGGGTGAATCATTTGAGGTCAAGAGTTCGAGACCAGTATGGCCAACATGGTGAAACCCCGTCTGTACTAAAAATACGAAAATTAGCCAGGCGTGGTGGTGCATGCCTGTAGTCCCAGCTACTCGGGAGGCTGAGGCAGGAGAAACACTTGAACCGGAGAGGCGGAGGTTGCAGTGAGCCGAGATCATGCCACTGCACTCCAGCCTGGGCGACAGAACGAGACTCTGTCTCAAAAACGAACAAACAAAAGCAATAGTCATTACTAACTCTGCTGTACTAGAACCTTTAGTGACCTTTAGTTGTAGATAAGTGTTAGAACCATTTGGAAACACCAGATATATCTGAGTTTCTGCATCTTTTACAAGGACTCAGTACTGATGACTGTGCTTCTCAGGTTCAGAAGAGCCACCAGGACTCAATAATAGCTACAGTATTAAGTTGGGTCAAAGATATGCCTTCCTAAGAAGTACGACTTGCTTAGCCAGTAGGAAATTGACCCCAGCCCTTTATAAAGAGCCTGGGCTGTTCATCATCTGTTTCCAGGAATAGTTCTCCAGCTGCTGAATTATGCATATTTTTATTCAGAAAAGTCACCCTAGGCCTTCTCGCTGGTGATTCACTGTCTCCCTGTTCTCAATCATCCTGGGCTGGAGAGATTGAGAGAGAAAGGATGGCATTTTCGAGTGGAAACAAGTCATGGAAGATGAAGGACTGGCGAGCGCCTAGAGACAGACTCTCACTTTCAGAACAGATGAGTGGGCAGTCATGGGAATTTTCGGCTCTTCGGGAAAGTTGTGCCGGAGATTATGAGGATTAGGTGGGACTTCTCTGCCTTTTCTGCTCTGCCCTTCAAGTACATCTTACTTTGTTCCAGCACTTCCAGACTACAGCTGCCCCCTCTGCTATGGCCCAGAGAGCTGATACATTCACTGTGTAGATAAAGACACACAGTTTTCTGGATTAGAATCACAGTGGCTACAGTGAGAGCCTTGAAATGTACACCTACCAGCTGGAACAGCAGTAGTTGCAGGGGTTCATTTTCTTTCTAAGGCTCTTTGCTGCTCACTTTAGCCTGTTTGGAAGTTAACATTGTTCACACATTGACAGTCCCATCATCTGTGCCATATACATATTTAGGAATATGCCCTGGATGAGGTTACTTTGTACGTGTTGATATGGAACGATTGCGAAGATATGATGTTAATGAATAAGTACCATGCATGATGTTGTAGTAGTACATACTTTTTATTTATTTATTTATTTTTTTTGGAGATGGAGTTTCGCTCCTGTTGCCCAGACTAGAGTGCAATGGTGCGATCTCGGCTCACTGCAGCCTCCGCCTCCCAAGTTCAAGCGATTCTCTTACCTCAGTGTCCCAAGTAGCTGGGATTACAGGCACGCACCACCACGTCCAGCTAATTTTTTGTTATTTTTAGTAGAGACAGGGTTTCACCATGTTGGTCGGGCTGGTCTGGAACTCCTGACCTCAAATGATCCACCCACCTCGGCCTCCCAAAGTGCTGGGATTACAGGCATTAGCCACCACACCTGGCCATATATACTTTTATTTATGGCTTAAAACAGAGTTATATAGAAACATATCTGCTTATTTGTACAGGAAGTGTCCGGAGGAATATATAGAAAACTGCTAGGCTTAATTCTCAGAGGGAAGATTGGGTGTTTGGAGTGGGAAGCAAACATTTTTTACTGTATACACTTGTACTATTTGAATTTTTTACCATATTAAAAAAGATTAAACAGGCTCTATTTGTACTTCTTCCCATGGCTTTAAGGCTTAATTATAAAAATCACTTCCCAGATCCATAAAAACCTTTAGTTCCCTCTAGCAGACTGGATCTTTGACTACCAACCTCAAATAGTAATTATTTTCATACCACCAATAATTCTCACAGCAGTGAGAGTCAGTTATCAATATGACAAAAAAATTTCATTTTTCTGGCGCAATCAGAGCGTAAAATCTTCCTCTGTAGAGAGATATGATTGAGAGAAGGAGGTAGGTACAGGGATGTGTAATATACTTGAAATAGGAAGAGACCTGAAGTGGTCCACTCTCAGAACATATTCATTTTTAATATCAGCCTTCGTACTGAGCCCTTAATGACTTGGGTCTTTAATTATCTCACTGAACAATTTATGTTGATTCAGGACCAGCTATTCTCTTTGATTTATTGATACTATGCTCAGAAAAAAAAAAAAATACACAGCATGTTTTGACAAAGTGCCTTTTAACACAATGCCTCCTGCGTTGTGCCCCAAAACCATGTGCCAGAAATTTTTTACATCTGTTTTCTCCCTACTGGGTTTTACATTTGTAGTAGCTGAAAAGGTGCAGTTTGATTCCCGTTACGACTTCAATATATGATTGTGGAATCTCTGTGAGCTGACGAGCTCCTAATTTTGTTGTAATGTGAAGTGGCTGATGGATGGTGGTGATTGGCGTCTAAATTCTAACTAAATTATATTCTCACATGAGCAAATCTTGAAACCAAAGGCACATGATCAAATCATTAAACCAAAGGCATATGTACAGCTCAGAAGTGTCCAAGACAAAGGGTGGAAGGCATCACACTAGGACAGGAGGCATCATTTGCCCCAGTGCAAACAAGAGAGCCATGACTGAAAGCAAAGCCAGATCTCTCAATTCCGGAGACAAATCAAAAAGAGGGGATGCTGAAGTTCACAGCTGTTGCAGGCTACAGTGTCAGGAATTTTCCTCCCCATTGATGAGCTCTAAGGCTGTAATAGATTGTGCTTTCTTGCCAATATACCTCCTGTTCCTTCCTCCCAAGGTTCTCAAGGTCTCAGGAACATCTTGACTCATAAGCCCAAGAACAGCATGTTTCAGTGATCGATAGTCTTTGAGTATAGCCATAAATACAACTGATTAATGATCTGTATGTCTGATGTAGGTGTTAAAGTTAGTTGAAAACAATCGCTGCCTACTAAAAATGGGCATGACACAAAACAGGAGGGAATTAAGGCGAATGAAATATCCATTTAATGCAGGCTCTGCTGACAAAGTATTTCATGTTCTGATTTGTTTAGTAAGGTTAGGCAATATCCTTGTGACATGTGTCATTACCTTTTCCAGTCTACCCTTTAAGGACCTATTTAGTTCTTTCTCCACCTGAAGTCTCTCCTGGGTACTGGGTGAACACGTGGCTTATGGTTACACCTGTGGGGCTGGGTTGGCAAAACTCTGCTTAGTGTGAATGACTGAATCTTAGTGTCGTAGCATCTGGAACATAGTTCTGCTTTCATCCCCAAAAAACTAAATCATTTATTGAAATATGATTAAATACAAACCAATCTAATTACTAACTTCTCTTTAGCCTCTGGAAAAAAAGGTACATATAGGAGAGAAAGATTTAAAGAATTACAAACAGGTCAGTAGAATTTGGGGCCTTAATTTTACCAGTTTTTTTTTCTTGCCATGTTTGCAGAGAAAACTCCTTGTGAACCCTAAGATCCACAAAGGAGGTCGTGACGTTGTGCAGATCCTTCAAGGGCCTAGAATTCCTTTAATTTCCAAAACGCTGGCAGCATTAGTTTAGCCTCAGATGTCTCTAAAATGAGTTACATTCTTTTATTTTTTATTTTTTATTTTTTTTGTGACAGAGTTTCGCTCTTGTCGCCCAGGCTGGAGTGCAATGGCGCGATCTCAGCTCATCGCAACCTCTGCCTGCTGGTTTCAAGAGATTCTCCTGCCTTACCCCCTGAGTAGTTGAGATTACAGGTGCCCTCCACCATGCCCGACTCATTTTTGTATTTTAGTAGAGCCAGGGTTTCACCATGTTGGTCAGGCTGATCTTGAATTCCTGACCTCAGCAGATCCACCTGCCTCGGCCTCCCAAAGTGCCGGGATTATAGGCGTGAGCCACCACGCCCAGCCCATTCTTTCAGATTTTTGAGAAGGTGATTCAGGCTTCTGAGGGAGAAAATATTAAGTTCCCTTCTCTTCAGTCCCATAGAATGCTTAGCAGCGGGAGGATGGTGTTCTACCCATTGCCTTCCTGCTTCATACAACTTGGACTAAACTGAAAGGAAGGACATGATGCTCACTCTGTTGGGGTGACTCTCTGTTGTCTCAGGAGGTTTCCCTAAGCAACCAGCTTGGGGCACCAACTTTAGTCATTTACTCAGTTCTCTCCTCCTGCCCACCCCTGCTCTTTCAAGCAAAGCTGAAACGATATTAATTGGTTAAGTATACTCATTAACTAAACAAACTATACTCTTTAGTAACCTATTTCGCCTGTTAGTAGTTTGACCACCTGCTTCATAAAGAAGTCATGTTTCTCTCTCACCCTCATCCCACATTTAAAATGCATTTGAACAGAAAACTCAGGTAAAAGTACCCGTGAAGTGGTTTTCTCACAAGAGTAGATATTAAGAATTGGTTTGAACTTGCCGGGCGTGGTGGTGACACCTGTAATCCCAGCACTTTGGGAGGCCGAGGCGGGCGGATCACCTGAGGCCAGGAGTTGGAGACCAGCCTGACCAACGTGGTGAAACCCCATCTCTACTAAAAATACAAAATTAGCCAGGCCTGGTAGTGCATGCCTGTAATCCCAGCTACTCGGGAGGCTAAGGCAGGAGAATCGCTTGAACCCAGGAGGTGGAGGTTGCGTTGAGCCGAGATCATACCATTGTAGTCCAGCCTGGGCGACAGGGCGAGACTCCACCTCAAAAAAAAAAAAAGAAATGGTTTGAACTGAGCCTGCTATTTATAATTTAAAATGTCTTTATATTCAGCTTATTATTAAGTGGGGGGAAAATGAGGTCTATGTTGGGTGAATTCATTTTTATGGTTCATTCTGGTTTGGAGTTCAACCTTTGATTGAAAGGTTTATACAAAGTAAACAAGACATTAACATACGGAGGGCTGTCATGTACAGAGATTGTCGGTGCTGGCAAATATTTATGTTGTTTTGTGACTTGGTGTTGACAGTAGCACTGTCCTGTGACCTGAGTACGGCCTCGTGCTCTGTGGCTGTGGCTGGTCATTTCTCTTCCATCTCCGTGTGGACCTGATAGCTTCACTCAGGCCTTGTGTTGAACGCCTGTCTCACATGACTGTAGACCTGGTGACCCAGAGAACTGCCAGAAATATGTGTAGCCACCATTTATGGAGTACTTCCTGTGCCAGCCATTGTTCCATATACTGTGTCTTGACTCATTTCATATCTCAGTATCTATTATGGAGGTTGTTAATAAAAGACCATGAGATTTGTGGAGGAAGAGTCATTTTCTATAAGAAACAATCTGTAGATTGGAGAGACGCAGCCTCCAGTGTAAAACAGAAGCACAGCCTGTAGAAGGGAGGGCGAAGTTGTTATTTATGCCTTACGAGACCTGTCTTATGTACGTATTTAGTAGATTTGGGAGAAATCTGTGAATATTTATGAGGGGGGTCAAGTGCCTGTGTAGTAGATAAACATATATGTAACACACATCTCATGTTCACTTTGAGGCTGTGTTTTAGCCTCACAGTGAGGTAGAATTTGGCTCCTATGTCAAAAGATGAACTGCAGACGCACAGTTTGTGTGCAGTCTCTCTAAGCTGGCTGAAACTGGCCTAAGGTCTGTGACTGTTTATGAGGAAAGATTGTTTATAAAGCCATGAGGCCAGTCCTCTGAGTTGTTGCAGGACTGCGTGGTGCGGGGGTGAGGGTCATGGGGATTGGGAGAGCTGGTGTCAGGCAGTTGGGGGCAGTTGGGAAAGTTTTCACTGTGCTTGTTTTGACGATGTTTTTTAGTAGCTGGTTTCTGTTTGATTACAGAAAAGAAAGCCTTGTGGCACTTAGTAACACGGGATACGTGACCAACCCCTCACCCTGTTATGGCCACTAGGTGTTGTTTTTCATCTGTCATTTTAGCCACAGGGAGCCCTTTCTCTCTGTTGACTGGGGGCGTCGTTTCACAAAGTCAACTCAAGTCAGAGATGACAGGTCAACACCATAGTTCCATGATGCAAACAATCACACCTGCGTGGCTGAACCATGAATCCCTGAAACGGCAAAGAGGGTATCTGGAAACTTGCTCTTTCTTTCCCTCAACTTACTGAAGACTGACTGTAAAGGGATGCTTGCAACTGAAGAAAGGCTGGGGTGGGTGAGCTTTCTAGAAATTGGACTGCTGCATGAAATAGTAGGAAATAGGAAGGCAGCCTCCAGTGTCGGTATCAATTGGCACTTGTTCATGGGGAGGGAAACTCTGTGGACGAGAGAGGTTGGGTATCTGCTACAGGGCTGAAGTTTTCTATATATATATATATATATATATATATAAATATATATATATATATATATATATAAATATATATATATATATATTTTTTTTTTTTTTTTTTTTTTTTTTTTTGAGTGAGAGTCTCGCTCTGTCGCCCAGGCTGAATTGCAGTGGTGCGATCTCAGCTCACTGCAACCTCTGCCTCCGGGATTCAAGGAATTCTCCTGCCTCAGCCTCCCAAGTAGCTGGGATTACAGGTGCCCACCAGCACGTCCAGCTCATATTTTTTGTATTTTTAGTAGAGACAGGGTTTCACCATATTGGCCAGGCTGGTCTCTTGGCTAGGCTGGTCTTGAACTCCTGACCTTGTCATCCGCCCGCCTCGGCCTCCCAACGTGCTGGGATTACAAGCATGAGCCACCGCATCTGCTCCTCTATATTTTAATATGCAGTATATGTGGTGCATCCCCTCTGTGAATAAAGTGAAGAGGAGGAGGGGGAGAAAGCCTTGAATAACCAATCAACACTTACATGTAAATTTATGTGTAATTCGCGTTACATTTATGTGCATGTTATTACTTGTAAATTACATCCTATGGTATAAATGTTGAGGTGGCCAGCAACAATGAAGGCAAGTGATACTGATTCTTCTGCAGCTGTGGGACTACCTCTGACCTTCCTGTCTAGCCCACTTTGGCTTTTATGACTGACAGAGTTTAACGACCTGGCAGCTTCTGTTTTGCTCATGATTTTTTTTAAAGGTAAAATTATTTAAGCCAAATGGTTGAATTGTTTTTCTGTAGCACAAAGGGCTGTATTAAGAGCACTTGTTTGATTTCACACAGCAGGCATTGGATGGCGCCTTCATAGTTGATTTCAGCTGCAAAATTAGCCTATTGAATAATCTGGTCATAGAATGTCACCTGCTTCTTCTGTTGTGCTATTGATGCAAGACAAATAAGACAAAGGAAAGAGTTCAGAAATAGATGCTCCTTCTCAGTTACACAAGAATACACACATATACACACTTTGGTATATGTTAGGGAAAATATTTCAGGCCAGTAGGAAAGGTAGATTGTTTAATACATAGTGCAAGTAATTTAGGGAAAACAGATGTTTATCTTGCTTTTTCATACAAAAAGATGTACCTAAGATTTAACTATAAAATAATAAAATATGAAATGTCATAACGTTGTTTATTATATGGAGTTGCAAAACCCTTTCTAAGCATGAAGTAAATTGAGAAGCCATAAACAATAATGTTGGTAACCTTGACTTCATACAAATAAAAGAAAAAACTTCTTCATAGCCAAAACAATTTAAAAATAAAGGGAAACAAGATATATGTTGCAAAAACATTTAACTGACCAAGTGTTCCTTTTTATTTTCATTAAAGTGTTCTTTACAAATCAGTAAGGAAAGTATAAGGTATTTAAGTAGGAAAGTCAGACAAAGGACATAAACAATTCCCAGGAAAGAAATTCATTGATTCTCTGACCACACAAAGATGGAGCGTCTTCTAATGTTGTAGGTAATAGGAATTAGCAGTGAATAAGGCAGGCAGGGATCCTGTTTGAAGGAGCTGTGATGGCAAATTTTATGTGAAAATGTGGCTGAGGTATGGTGCCCGCTTGTTGGGTCAAACACTAGGCTAGATGCTGCTGTGATTAACATTTCAATCAGTAGACTTTGAGTAAAGCAGATCATCCTCTATAATGTGGGTGGGCCTAATCCTATCAGTTGAGGTCTTAAGAGCAAAGACTAGCTGGGCTTGGTGGCTCACACCTGTAATCCCAGCACTTTGGGAGGCCAAGGCGGGTAGGTCACTTGAGGTCAGGAGTTCAAGACTAGCCTGGCCAACATGGTGAAACCGCGTCTCTATTAAAAATACAAAAGATTAGCCGGGCATGGTGGCGTGCGCCTGTAGTCTAAGCTACTTGGGAGGCTGAGGCAGGAGAATTGCTTGAACACGGTAGGCAGAGGTCGCAGTGAGCTGAGATTGCACCACTGCACTCCAGCCTGGGCAACAGAGCGAGACTCCATCTCTAAAAAAAGAACAAAGACTGAGGTTTTCCCAAAGAAGACAGAATTTGGCCTCCAGCGTGGGCAATGTAGTGAAACCCCACCTCTACAAAAAATACCAAAAAACAAAAACAAAAACCAAGCAAACAAAAAAAAGCCTAGGTGGACATGGTGAGGGGGCCCTCAGGAGGCTGAGGTGGGAGGATCACCTGAGCATGGGTGTCGAGGCTGCAGTGAGCTATAATTGTACCACTGCACTCCAAGCAGTGACAAGGGGTGAGACCCTGTCCCCCCCTAAAAAAGAAACTCTGCCTGAGTTTCCAGCCTACCTGGCCCGCTCTGTTGATTTCATACACAAAACTGTAATATTTCCAGCCTGCTGGCTTATCCTAGAGGTCTTGGACTTGACAGCCCTCACAATTGTGTGAGCCAATTCCTCAAAATAAATCCTCGATTCACTTGAGCTCAGGAATTGGAGGCTACGGTGAACTAAGATTGCACCATGGCACTCTAGCATGGGGGACAGAGCAAGACCCTGTTTCTAAATATATATATAAAATATATATATAATATATATAAAAATATATATAACATATATAAAATATATAATATATATTATATATAAAATATATAATATATATTATATATACATATAATATATATAATATATATTAAATATATATAATATATATAAAATATACATATAATATATATTATATATATAATATATAAAAAATATTATGTATAATATATATTATATAATATATAATATATATTATGCATAATATATATTATATATAATATAATATATAATATATATTATGCATAATATATATTATATATAATATAATATATATTATATATTATGTATAATATAAAATATATATTATGTATAATATATAATATATATTATGTATAATATATAATATATATTATACATAATATAAAATATATATTATATATAAAATATATAAAATATAATATATAAAGTATATATAATATATAACATATATATGTTATATGTTATATATAAAATATAAAATATATATGTTATATATCATATATAAAATATAAAATATATATGTTATATATCATATATAAAATATGAAATATATATGTTATATATCATATATAAAATATATATGATATATAACATAAAATATATATTATATAAAATATATATGATATATATTATGTATAAAATATATATTATATATAAAATATATAATATATAAAAATATATCATATATAAATATATAATATATAAAATACATATAATATATATTAAAATATAACTGTATAATTTTTCCAGAATTAAAGTTGGAAGATGTAAGATTGAAAGACTCCTAAACTGCCATAGAGGATGACACGTTTATTTTAATCACCCAAGACAGAGAGAAAATTATGAAAGCATCCAGTCAGGGAGTAAAGGCCTACAAAGGAACAGGCATTAGATTACTGTCAGGTTTCTCAAAAGCAACACTGGATACAGAAAACACAGCGGGCAAATATTGTCAAAGTATTACAAAGAAACAAACTTTAAACCTGTAATTTTGTATTTTGCTAAACTGTCATGGATGTGTAAGTGTACAATAAAGATACACTCAGGTATAAAAAATAAGTAAGTAAATAAATAAATAAATCCTCGTTGGAGTGGACCAATTCCTTAAAATAAATCTCTCGATAGATAGATAGATAGATAGATAGATAGATAGATAGATAGATACATAGGTAGATACATAGATACATAGATATAGGGTAGATTGATCCTATTGGTTCTGTTTTCTGGAGTCTGGAGAACCCTAATATAGGAGCTTATATTGTAGTACAGATGATAAAGCAGGACATGATACATTAACAAGAAAAGATCCCATTAAAGTACATGGGATGGAAGGACAGACGGAGAATGACTTGGAGTTTCTTTTAGGACTGTGGATCAGAAACGGTTCTCTGAAGAGGTGACCTTCACGTAGAGGGCGAACATAAGTCCCCACCCCTCCAATATGGGCTGCACATTGTGACTTTCCAAAGAGCCATGTCCTGCCTCCACAGCCTCTGTCCCCAAGGCGTGCCCTTCATAGGCCAGCTCCTTGAGCTTCAGCACTACCTACTCCCAGCTCAGCTTCCTCCCTTCTCCTCCCTGGCCCTGTAGCCACCGCATTAGAACAAGCGCATGATGATGGAATAAGGTCTCACGTGGTTAAGCATTTTAAGTAAAAGTTACTATTTCACATCACGTAAAAGGGTGTGGTGCTGTAGTCACTGTGGGATGCAGTGCCGTGAAAAAGTGCCCACAGATCTCCTGAGGGTCCTTTGGGCTGTCTCCTTTTTGTTACTAATGACCATGTTTTGGTTACCCTGGATAGAGGTGTTGAAGTCCCACCCAGCTTTTAAATTTAATGGTTCTGTGATACAATCCATGCGGAATGTAGTCAGTTAAAAAATAAAGGAATACTGGCCGGGCATGGGGACTCACGCCTGTAATCCCAGCACTTTGGCAGGCCGAGGCGGGTGGATCATGAGGTCAGGAGTTTGACACCAGCCAGGCCAACATAGTGAAACCCCGTCTCTACTAAAAATACAAAAAATTAGCTGGGCCTGGTGGCGGACGCCTGTAGTCCCAGCTACTTGGGAGGCTGAGGCAGGAGAATCGCTTGAACCCGGGAGGTGGAGGTTGCAGTGAGTTGAGATTGCGCCATTGCACTCCAGCCTGGGTCCAGCCTGGGCAACAAGAGTTAAACTCCATCTCAAAAACAAAATAAAATAAAATAAACGAATATTATTTGACCTCTTTGGAAATCTTGCCATACTTTTGTCTTGTAAGTAGACATATGAGCCTATTTACCAGATTTTTCAATAATTGTCCTGGGGTGGGAAAAAACTTAAAAATCACTGCTTTAAAAGTATTTCAATTGGCCAGGCCTGGTGGCTCATGCCCGTAATCCCAGCACTTTGAGAGGCCGAGGTGGGAGGATCACTTGAGGTCAGGAGTTTGAGATCAGCCTGACCAACAAGGCGAAACCCCGTCTCTACTAAAAACACAACAATTATCCGGGCATGGTGGCGTGCACCTGTAATCCCAGCTACTCAGGAGCCTGAGGTGGAAGAATTGCTTGAACCCAGCGGGCCGAGGTTGCAGTGAGCCTATATCGTGCCATTGCACTCCAGCCTGGGCAACAGAGCGAGACTCCATCTCAAAAACAAACAAACAAACAAACAAAAATTATCCCAAGACTCGGAATGCTTTCACAAATAGCCGTCTCCTTCAGTTGTATATTCATATTCATGTTCAACAGTAATTGTATTAATAGATGAAAATGTCATTCTCTAATAGCTGCCATTACTGGCGGAATTCTACCTGCAATTCTTGATGTTCTTCTTCATTGTATTTGGAAGCCTCAGAATTTTCTACTCAATAGAACAAGTAGTTGTAGTAATAAATTTCAAATTCTTGCTTTCATAGGAAAATGGGACCTTCGAAGAAAATAGCTTATGAAGATGTGTCAGTTTTCTATAAATACACACAGTTCATGCTTAGAAACTTCTCCATCTTTGCAGTCTTCTTTAATATTCTAGGATATTTATCTGCCTGGATCCTTTCAAAGTAGATCAGAGGGTTCCCAGCTAAGCAGTGTTTGCTGTCACACTTGTACGACTTCTCACTGAACTTAGAAAGGAGAAAAAAATGACACTAAATTCGATATGAGTTGCCTTAAAAAAATAGCCCGGCTTAGGGGCAATCCATGGAAGGTATGGGTCAAAGTAGGGTATATTTATAATTAACAGATTTTCACCCAGAATTTAGAGGGAAATGTGGAGGCAAATTTGAGTTAAATAGTCCTAAAATCTCTCAAAATGATTCAACCTTTCATATGTCCAAGAACCAGAGCTAGAAACAGACTAGAATTTGTCTATGGATTCTCTAGGGACCAGAAAATGTTTCTCTACTTTTAACCTCCTGGCTTGTTACTTCATTGCTAAACGTAAAGCAACAAAGATGGAGAATAGGAGACTAGATTCAACTGGAGCAGCAGCGTCGCTAAGTATTTTGAGAATGCAAATATTTTTTTCCTTTGGTGATGGAGTCTCGCTCCGTCACCCATGCTGGAGTGCAATGGCTCAATCTCAGCTCACTGCAACCTCCGCCTTCCCAGTTCAAGCGATTCTCCTGCCTCAGCCTCCGGAGTAGCTGGGATTACAGGTGCCCACCGTCATGCCTGGCTAATTTTTGGATCTTTAGTAGAGACAGGGTTTCACCATGTTGGCCAGGTTGGTCTCAAACTTCTGACCTCAGGTGATCTGCTCGCCTTGGCCTCCCAAAGTGCTGGGATTGCAGGCGTGAGCCACTCCACCCAGCCAAATGCAAAGATGTTTTTTGAAAATCAAGGACAAGTGGAAGACCCTTGACACGGGTACTTTTCCTGCATTTCACCGAAGTTCCCGAACCTCTGCCGTCAGTCTGGATTTTGGCCGGGCGTTGCTGAGGGTCTGGAGTAGAGGCTGTGGGCTGTGTCCATTTCACAGCCATGGGGTGTGAAAGGTCAGTAGGCTTTGCGGGCAGTGGAAGGCGGCCTCCTGCAGGAAATGGCTCTTGTAATTTTCAGCAGTTAGTTACTAAATCCTATGAAGTCCATTCAGTTTACTTGGCAGGAATTGTTGGTTTGACAGGAAAGCTGTGTGGCCTTGGAATGGCTGCCATTTACTGAAATAGTGATACTGGTTGGGCCAAGTTTTCTAAAAGTAGTGACATTATAAATACTACTCCGTTGTCAGGCGTAATACAGTTTTTCAGTGTGCCTAAACTGCAGAAACATAATACTTGCCCAAGAGTTTTACATGGTGTTATTTGATGCATAAACTCATGATGTCACTTGATGCAAAATAGTTGTTCATGAAATTTAAAAATAGCCTCATCCTCAGGAATGTTTAAGACATTTACAGTTACCATGTATACTGGATTAGTGAATACCGAACCATTGCTTCTAGGGGAAATACAGGGTTAGTTCACTTCCAGCCTCTGAGAACACATTTTTATAACCTCGTTTTATATATGTCAATACATAACCTGTTTTATGTGTGTTTCTGTTTAAAGACACCTCATTTAATATATGAGGAGACTTCAAAAAGTTCATGGGAAAATGGAATTAACAGGTAAAAAATTTAAATATGAACTTTATTTCTCAAAATAATCTCCATCAAGGTCGGGAGACTTGTAAGTGCTGATAGCAACCATTTAGTTCATCCCTAAAGAACTGAGGGTCCTGGGAACTTAACCATGTCAGTGTGGTGTTTTTTACATTATTAGCTGAAGAAAAATGATGCCCTTTAAAGAATTTTTTTTTTTTTTTTTTGAGACGGAGTGTCGCTCTGTCACCAGGCTGGAGTGCAGTGGTGTGATCTCGGCTCACTGTATCCTCCGCCTCCTGGATTGAAGCGATTCTCCTGCCTCAGGCTCCCAAGTAACTGGGACTACAGGTACGTGCCACCACGCCCAGCTAATTTTTGTATTTTTAGTAGAGACGGGGTTTCACCATGTTGGCCAGGATGGTCTCGAGCTCTTGACCTCGTGATCTGCCTACCTCAGCCTCCCAAAATGCTGGGATTACAGGCATGAGCCACTGCACCCGGCCTAGAGATTCTTTTTTTTAAGATAAGGAAGTAAAAAGAAATCAGAAGGAGCCAAATCAGAGCTGTAAGGGGGATGCCTAATGATGTCCTACTGAAATTCTCCCCAAATTGCCCTTGTGTGATGAGAGGAATGAGCAGGAGCCTTGTTATGGTGGCGAAGGACTCTCTGGTGACCCTTTCTCAGGCATTTTTCTGCTAAGGCTTTGGTTAACTTTCTCAAAACACTTTCATAATAGGGAGATATTATTTTATGGCCTTCCAGAAAGTCAGCAAGCAAAATGCCTTGAGTGTCCAAAAGAACTGTGATCATGTCTTTTGCTGTTGACCGGTCTGCTTTTGCTGTGACTCGACCTCTTCTACTTCTTGGTAGCCATTGCTCTGATTGTGCTTTTTCTGGGAAAAAGCGTTGTACTGGGAAAGCCGTGTTTTGTTTCCTGTTACAGTTCTTCAAGGAAATGCTTCAGGATCTTGATCCTACTTGTTGAAAATTTCCGTTGAGATCTCTGCTCTTGTCTGAAGCTGAGCTGAGCTCAGTGGTTTTGGCGCCCATAGAGTGGAAAGTTTACTCAGCTTTAATTTTTCAGTCAGAATTGTGTAAGCTGAACCAATTGAGATGTCTGTGGTGTTGGTTGTTGCTTCTGCTGTTAATCATTAGTCCTCTACAGTTAGGGCTGTAACTTGAAAAAAAAAAACAAGATGATTTTTTTTTTCCTTGCTGATTGATGAGGACGGTTTGCCGCCGTGGACTTCATCTTCCACATCAACTTGTTAAAACAAGTTATTCATTTGGAAACTGCTGATTTCTTTGGGGCATTGTCCACATAAACTTTTCATAAGGCATCAATGATTTCACCATTCCTCCACACAAGTGTCACCATAAATTTGCAGTTTGTTCTTGCTTCAATTTTAGCAGAATTCATGTTGCTCTGATAGGGGCTCTTTTCAAAATGACGTCTTTTCCTTCTTACTGTCTCAAACTAGATCCTGTCTAAACATGTTGTAGCAAGCTAGTACACATTTATTTTGGTGCAAAAAAAAAATGGAAATTCATGCATAGTTTTTTCGTAATACTCATTTTCCACGAACTTTTTGAAGTCCCTTAGTATATTTTTGATTCATTTAGCATCGAGTTCACAGCCAACAGCACAATATAACCCACAGCTGAACAAAGCTTACATAACACACATATTTTCTCTGTAAGGCGTCATAGATTAGTCCATTCTCATGCTGCTAATAAAGACATACCAGAAACTAGGTAATTTATAAAGGAAAGAGGTTTAGTTGACTCCCAGTTGCGCAGGCCTGGGGAGGCCTCAGGAAACTTAGAATCATGGCAAAGGGGGAAGCAAACATGTTCTTCTTCACGTGGTGGGAGGAAGGAGAAGTGCTGTGCAAGAGGGAGAAGCTCCTTATAAAAACCATCAGATCTTGTGACAACTCAGTATCATGAGAACAGCAGCATGGGGGTAACCGCCCCCATGATTCAACTACCGCCCACTGGGCCCTCCCACCACATGTGGGAATTAAAGGGAACTACAGTTCAAGATGAGATTTGGGTGGGGACACAGCCAACCAATATTACTCAGCCTTTCTGAGCTTAGGAGCACTAAGTAGCTCTGTAGCACTGTGCCTGCGGCCTGTTTCAAACAAAATCTCAAGCAAAAAGCAAACATATATGAAAGACATGGCACGAAATAGCCCAGAGAAAGGACCCTTGTTGACAGTAGGAGAGCTGAAGCAGGAAGGCACAGTGTCATCTTGTTTGACCTCAGCCTGGAATGTGCATGTCCAGTAACTCGAATTTTCTCCCCTCTGCTCCCATGTCCAGGAATGACCACAAAATTGCCACAAGTATTGATTTCTAAGTTTCAAAGAAATTTTAGCCAGCAGGTGAATTTGTAAATACAGATCGGTGAATAATGAGGACTGACCATACTTACATTCTAATGTTCTTAACTAAATATCTTTCTCCACGTATGTATAAAGCATAAAATTTTCTCCTTTCCAGTCTAAAGGTCAGTGCCTAAAGGAGTGAAATGGTGAGAAGGGGCTGGATCCAAGCTGTTATTGGCTATGATTGAAAATTTACTGCTATTTAAAAGTGCATATTTCCACTTTTAAGTTGCCCATAGATTCTTCTTTTTTTTTTTTTTTCTTTTTTTGAGATGGAATTTACTCTTGTCACCCAGGCTGGAGTGCAATGGTGTGATCTCAGCTCACTGCAACCTCCGCCTCCGGGGTTCAAGCGATTCTTCTGCCTCAGTCTCCCGAGTAGCTGGGATCTCATACATTATTCTTTAGTGTCCAAAGGGTTTTTACTTCCAATGGCTTATTTGTGGAATTTATAAACGGAAGTGATTTGCAAACAACCAACAAAAAGCACACCAAAATAACCTGCACAAAGATTACAAAGACTTTAATAAATTAATTACGGTTACTTGTCATCATTTCCCTGTTTTAAGTACACCCCTGAACAGGCCTCAGGCTTCTTCCAGTATGGGCTGGCCTGGGGATGGGGAGGACGAAGGTCTACCCCAGCCCTCTCTGGCCACAGAGGCTGCATTGCCCCCTCTCTTTCAGTTCGATTTTGTTTAAGGCAGTGTGGCTTCTTAAGTGACATGTCTGTGATGATCACCCCAGGCTTTCTACATCAAAATGTTTAAGTATCTATCTTCCAGTGACCTTCATGTCATTTCCCAGTATTCTTTTTAGGAGACTGCCATAAATTCAGGCAGTTTGAGCATTCTCCAAACATACTCATTTGCTTCTAGAAAGGAAATCTATGGTTCTTTTCTCCGAGAGTGGTTACATTCCAGATCTTAGGGGCTGAACGTGACAGAAGTGGATTTCTCATCCATGTACTATTGGAAGCTTGGCTGGGGGCCAGGGGTTCTTCCCCAGCCATGCGTTTGGAGCCCCAGGCAGGCAAGATCCTGCCATATTCCACACATAGATATAGGTATCTCTAGTCAGCAGAAGGGAAAAGGAAATGAGTAGATCAGGTATGTGGGGCAGAGGGCGCAGTTATGAAGACCCTGGAAGCAATGTACATCACTTCTCCCCACATTCCTTGGCCAGAGCTCATTTGTGTGGCTCCCCGTTGGACGCACAGGGCAGGGAGTGGGGGTGCTGGAAATGTATGCCTAGGCTGGGAACCCACTTTCTAGAAGCAGCATTCTGTTCCATCATAGGGGAGCAGGAATCGTGCAGGGACAGCTGGCCATCCCTGGCACACAACGGAAGACGGTGGAGGACGCTGCTCTTGGTGGCGAGGAAGTGAAATTTGTCTAAGCTCTGAGGTCAACCTCGAGGAGGTGAGGTTGTTGGAAACATTCCTGTCAAATCATTCTCATATTCTAGCTAAGCCCCTGTTAAATATGCCACACCTCAGAGGCTTAGAACCCTTTTAAGTTTCAGGCAAACACAGTACAGGGTGTGGGATCTGTTTCTGACACTCTTGAGAGCTACTTGAAGACGGGCTCCATCTGTGCCTCTTGAAACAAAGACACTCGATAAAGGCACACTGAACAAACAATGATGCAAAAATGCAAGTTCCTAGGAATAACAGTAGCTAACTTTTCCTATGAAAGCAGTGTGGGCCGCACCTGTGCCTAGGACTTTACATGTGTATCTCATTTCATCTCTTAAATCCCCGATACGAGGTAGGTTCAGTTATGATGATCCCAGTTTTACAAGAGAAGGAACCATGTGCACAGAGGCACATATGTTGCTTATAGCCTCGTGGCCATGAGCAGCAGAGCTGGTATTTAAGTCCAGGCCATCTGTGAGCTGGGGAGAGAGAGGTAAAGAAGATGCGTAGCACTGGGGATGAGAGGGGCACATTGTCCCATTTTGGTACTTCCTGAAGATTCCACAGTGTGCTTCCTAGGGGCAGCCCGAAGGTCATCAGGAGTGCGCATGATCTGAGATTATTGCCAGAGAGCATTGTTCCTCTCAGATTATAATGCCAGTAACTGGGACCAGTGGGGATTTTATAATCATACAGTCCCCATTACAGAGAAACTGAGGCTTAGTATGTAAAAGGGATGCCCAGTGTTACATTACAGTAGGTCAGAGTTGTTTCCAAAGAAGTTCATCTGATTGTTTTTGTTGTTTTTCCATCCAAGCCATAGCTGGTTACTATTAGGAAGATAGCTAACTAGTTGTCAAATACACCCGGGATTTTTCTGAAGTTTAACCACTTTAAAAATAAATGTGTCATTTGTCACATATTTGTATAATGAGCAGCTTTGGTCAATACCATAACCTCAGTCTCTCCAGAATTTAACACAACTGTGGTGCCATTCCTATTGGACCTACACACTCAACCACAGAATGGAGTCGGGTGAAAGATTGGGTGACTGGATTTGCCATTTCACCGAGTGCTGTGAATGGGTCTCACTCGCAGGGCTCGGAACAGAAGCCACCAGACCCACAGGCCATGGGAGTCCAGTCCCACAGCTGTCTTGGCTCCTGGTGAACTAGGTCAACTGCTAATACCTTAGTAATAGACACTGCCATTGCACAGACCAGGCAATGAGGCATAGTTAACGGCTCTGTCAAACAGCAGCAGCACCTTTCATATGTCGCCCAGATACTTTCAAGACAAATTTGAGTGGGCCGGGCGCGGTGGCTCATGCCTGTAAACCCAGCACTTTGGGAGGCCAAGGCAGGTGGGTCACCTGAGGTCAGGAGTTCGAGACCAGCCTGGCCAATGTGGTGAAACCCCGTCTTTACTGAAAATACAAAAATTAACCAGGTGTGGTGGCATGCGCCTGTAGTCCCAGCTACTCAGGAGGCTGAGACAGGAGAACTGCTTAAACCTGGGAGGCGGAGGTTGCAGTGAGCCGAGATCACGCCACTGCACTCCAGCCAGGACGACAGATCGAGACTCCGTCTCAAAAAAAAAAAAAAAAGACAAATTTGAGTTCAATAAAGGAGAAATGAAAAGCTGTCACAAAATAAGCTCTCATATTTATTCAAAGGTTTGCATTCCATAGATGAATCATGCAGGGTTGCATACTTGAGTCACTCTTCTTGGTGAGCCAAAAGTCACCCAATACTGGGAATAATTTCCCAGCTGTTTGAAACGTGTGTGTGTGTGTGTAAATGTGCAAAGGGTAAGTTATTCAAAAGACCCAATTAGTGGAGTTTATTAACTCTTACTGCAGGTGTGTCCATAGCTGTGCTATATTCATCCCTTTTTTTCCAGCTTTTTAAATATAATTTTAAGAAGAAGCCTCATTAGGGCAAGGTTAAAAAGTAGAATATTGTTTATGTAAAACCCTTGGCTGTTATCAGCATTTCATATAAATGTAGCTAATTACAGTCAGCAGGCTGCCATCATTGCTGGAATAGAAATACGACTTCATTGTAACCATGATCATTATTATCTTAGTTTTGTAGGAGACATAGAGTGAAAATGGCTAGGGACCAGTATAAATGTGGGCATGTTGAGACATTTATCTGCTATAGCTGGCCCTCCCAGATGATACCCTGTTTTCAAGAGTCTCATGTTTTCCATCTCTAAGGTGATAACATTCAAAAAGAAGAGGTTGTTTGATGTTATTGTGTTATATTTTTTAAAAAGAGGAAAAAAAAAAAGAAAGATTACCCCAAGAATGATTCATCAAGTTTTGAAACTCAAGGGAAGTGGATATTATGGATGATTGACAGTTTATAAAATGACAACTGGGAATGAAATGGGTTCTGTCAAGCTTTGTGAGTGGGGCGTGGGGTGGTGCATTGCAATCTGCGATGGCAAACATTGTGGTTTCTGTCATTCCTTTAAATGTTTGAGAACAACTATTTACTGCATCTCCCATGGAAAGTCTATTTCTTATTGTATGAGTATAATGCAAGTTAAAGATCACTTATTTTTCTTTTTGTTCTATTAAAGTGTTCCCTTGCAGCGGTGGTATTGGCAATAATATTGGTTCTAGGAACATGAAATAAAACCTGGTAAATATCATTGGGCAGAATCAAAATATAGAGGCAGTGGCTAGGCTCTCTTTCATAGTCTAGTGTTCCTTCTCTGTAGTGATCAGGGATCAGTTAAGTTAGTTGACATACACACTGCTTATTTAATGGGTTTTAGACTGTAGGTTTCTTCATGCCTGGGTCTTGACCCATCACTGGATACTGAAATCAATTTGGTGAGTTATGACTGGCTTAAAACAAAAAGAAAATAGAACAGAATAGAAAATAATAGGCTGGGCACGGTGGCTCACCCCTGTAATCCCAGCACGTTGGGAGGCTGAGGCAGGCAGATCACCTGAGGTCAGGAGTTTGAGACCATCCTGGCCAACATGGTGGAACCTCGTCTCTACTAAAAATACAAAAATTAGCTGGGCGTGATGGTGAACTCCTGTAATCCCAGCTACTCAGGAGGCTGAGGGAGGAGAATCACTTGAACCCGGGGGTCAGAGGTTGCAGTGAGCCGAGGTTGTACCACTGCACTCCAGCCTAGGTGACAAAGCGAGACTCCAGCTCAAAAAAAAGAAAAGAAAAGAAAAGAATAGAATAATAGTGTACCATGCATCATAACAATAATAAACATCTTGTTTTATGCACCTCTTATTTCACTTCCATGAACGGTGTGTTCGTATAAAGTATGCTGGTTCAGGGAGACCAGCCTGGTCCTCGATTGTGAGTATGGCTCCATGTAGACAATCCTACTCAAGGTAAATGCAACCAGAAACAAAGGACATTGCCCCTAACAAGGACTTGGGCCAGAATTCCATTGTTCGGCCTTCTTGCCAAGGGCTGAGACATGCTTTCTGTCAGTATCATTGAAGTATGATGGATGGTTCGTGCTAGTCTAAGAGGAGCAATATCTCACGTCGCTGGAGTGTCTAGGGACAAGAATGCTTTTATTAAACAGCTACCTTAACTAAAAGTGATGCTCACTGTTAACCATTGGTTTCATGATGCCAGGCAGTACTTGAACATCTTCATGGGATGTATTATAATAACTTAGCATCCCTATTTAGCACTGAGTTATACTGAATTCATTTAATCCTTATCCATTTAGATAATTACAGTGCAGTAGTCCTGCTTTATCTGAGGGGGGTGTGTCCCAAGACCCCAGTGGATGTAGAAATGGCAGATAGTAGGTGTACACTAAGGTTTTTTAATCCAATAACTGAGATGGCTTCTAAGTGACTAACTGGCAGGTAGTGTAGACAACGTTTGGATGGATGGGCTGGACAGAGGGATGATTCATATCCTGGGTGAGACAGAGTAGGATGGCACAGGATTTCATAGCTACTTGGAATGGCTCGCAATTTAAAATTGTTTATTAACTGTATTAATTGTTTATATGTGGAATTTTCCATTTAATATTTTCAGACCGCAGTTGACGGCAGGTAACTGAAACTGAGGCTAAGGGGGCTACCGTGTCGTCCTTCTGAAATTCAGTACCACAGCACAGCAGTGTAGATGGAGATAGAATGTGGAAAGGGCTGGGTGTGGTGGCTCACACCTGCAATCCCAGCACTTTGAGAGGTCAAGGCAGGAAGATCTCTTGAGCCCAGGAGTTCAAGACCAGCCTGGGCAATATAGTGAGACCTCATCTCTATAAAAAATTTTTCAAACCCTTAGCTGAGCATGGTGGGTACACCTGTAGTCCCAGCTACCTGGGAGGCTGAGGTGGGAGGATTATAATCATGTGTTTTTGTTGTAAACAACTTGAGTCTGGGAGGCAGAGATTATAGGGAGCCAAGATTGTGCCACTGCACTCCAGCTTGGGCAACAGAGTAAGACCCTGTCTCCAAAAAAAAAAAAAAAGAATGTAGAAAAGATCTCTGTTTTCCATTCATTCCCTCAGTTATTCTTTGAAACAAGCAACCTTTGAGCATCTGCTTTGTGCTGTGCTCTTGGAACACAGAAGTAGGTGATAACTCGGCCCTTGGTCCATAGGAGGAAACAGATATATCAGCATGATGGCCATTTAGGGTGGGACGTGCTAGAATAGAGGGAGATACATATGAAGGTATCTGGGATTTTAAAGGAAGACGGACAAACTGTGCGGTTTGGGAAGACATTACCCATCACAAAGATATTTAAAATACAACTTAACAGGCACATAAAAGAGTTTTCCAGCTGGAGAGAGATAGGAGTTACGGAAGGAGAGGTGGACAGATCCCAGCCCCAGGACATAGCCTGGAATTTGCTCCTTTCAGCCAGCAGTGGATGTACTTTAGCTGTCTCTTGCTTCTTTTGCTTAAAAACAGAATTCAGAAAAAATTAATTCCAGTTATTCAGCGTGCCAGTTAGTGGAGGCCTGACTAATTAAGGTTTCACTGTAAGCTTGGCATATCAGAAGTAGTATTATAATCATGTGTTTTTGTTTTGAATATGTTAAGTTTTTGTTGTTCTATTTGTGTTGACTGGGGTAAAATGTGATCTGTGTCATTTTGATTTTGAGTTCTCACTTAGTAATCCAATTTGGCATCCCATATCCTCTTCCCAACAAGAATTTAAAGTGTTTATTAAAAAGGAGAGGAGAGGTAGAGGGTCAAATAAAACATTGGCAGCAAGGCAGGTGGCCAAAGCCTGCGGAGGAAGGACAGGAAATGTCTGCTGGAGCTTGTTATAGAGCAGACGCAGAATGAGCACAGTCAGAAAATAGAGAGCTAGGGAAGGGAAGGCTTGCTCAGCTCTGGGGAATTCCAGAACTTAGAGGGCAGAGGCCAATTTATTCAACATGATAGTTTCTTGTCTCTAATCTCTCTTGGATTCTTTGAGTATGAGGAGGACAAGTAAATGTTTTGAGGAAGCATGGCATAGCAAGAACACCAGGGGGCCTCGCATACCTGCCTTTGAAGTTTATTATGTTTGGCAAGACCCTCTCAGAGCCTACGTTCATAGCTGTGAAATTAGCCATAAACATGCTCCCTCCAAGGCCTTCTGTTGGGAGGATTTATAAGGATTTAAATATGCTTAGCACAGAGTGCAGGCCATAGGAGATACTCAGTAAATGGGATCCCCCCTCTGCCCGACCTGTAACCCTACGTGGAATCCTATGATAGACTTTGCCTAAGAGTGACCGAGGCAGCATTGTCATTGCCACGGCTAGAGCCCCCATTGTATTTAGTTTAACCTTCGCTCTCTAAAGGTCAGAATACATTTCTACAACACAATACATTTTATTTAGTGCTGCACACACAGTGGTTTTAGTGAGGGCCTTAATAGTCCCCCCAGAGGTTCCACGTATGCACCTCTTGCACTCTGCCACCTGTGCTGTGGGGCTAGTATCCTGCAATGACAGTGCACTCCCAGCTTATGCCTGGGAGACGTTCTTAAAGTCCCAGTGGCGACTGATACGTTTACATGCTGTTTATGAAAGAGATGGAGTTTGGGTGGTGATGGGAGGGAGGGAAGGAGAAGAAGGAAGCGCCGTAACTCCATCTGATGGGCACAGAAGCAGAGGAAGAGTAACGCATATGCTGTGCACTCCCCCTTCCCTTCTTGCCACCCAATCCCTGATCCCAGCTGGATCTCAATATAGAATAATAAAACTGTGATTAAGATCACGTAAACACAATTTATTTTTTCATTAAGCTCCATAATATACTTTTGCACTTGTTTCTATAAAGCTTCAGACGGCCTCAGCAAAAGAGTTGACGCTTTGCCTGTAATATAATTTGCATGTCCCTATCCTCTTTAAAAGTGCCAGTTTCCTTGAATTACAGATATTAACTCCCAAGACAGTATAAGCATCATGGCCTTTTGGACAGGTGGGCTGTTTTCTTCTATTCATTTTGAGGTTGTTAGGGACTCTTTGGTAATAGGATCTTCCTAATCTACGATATTATTGGTTATTAAATATGGATGACTTGTTTGATGTAGTGGGGCTTGTTTTCAATGATCCCATTAGGCCAGGCGTGGTGGCTCATATCTGTAATCCCAGCACTTTGAGAGGCCGAGGCAGGAGGATCACTTGAAGTCAGTGAGCCACCACGCCCGACCCGGAGTTGCATCTCTTAACGGCATCCCAGTTCGAGTCTCAGCCAAGGGAGCAGGCACCCATGCCCTGGGGCCTGAACTGTGGCATGGGAGTGGGGGGCACAGATCTTTTGGCAGAAGGTGGCTACCCAGGTCCAAGCCTCAGACATCTTTCCTCCTTGTCAGACCTTCCTCCTGGGTGAGTCACCTATGTGGGGGGCGGGTGAGAACCTCTTTGTGGAGGCTCTGGGAAAGCCGACTTGGAGCTTGGAGCCTCCACAGTTATATAAATGGAAAATTAGAAAAAAACAAAAAGGCCTTGTGGGCTTGTAAAGATGGAATACATTGTAGCTGAGAAAATTCTTGGCTGAGAAAATGTGAGGAGTGCTAAGGCCGTGGTTGGAGGATTTTTTTTTTTTTCTTGGTAAAGGGAGACAGTGGCTGCAGAAGGCACCAGCTGTCCCCACCTCTTTGCCATTGTTGAAACAAACTCGCAAATGGAAAGGACTTTGCAATGCAGAGTCTAAGGAGGGAAAATGAAAATATGACAGATACAAAGAACTGAATGCATTCTGAAATCTTAGGGGAATAAAAATATCTAGTATTGAGACAGCCCAAAGCTAAGAGTCTGCAAACTCAGAAACAGCAAGAAGCTTTTTCACAAGAAAAGGAAACTTAGTGCTCTAGGTACATAGAGGTGGAGAGGAGGGCCTGTGTGTTTTAATCTGTCACCCGATATCTTGTATAGCTGTAGGATTATGGAGTGATTCAGTTTCCTCTCTGTAGCAACATCCATGAAAATATCTATTTACTTACTGCCTCGGGAAAACATTCAAATTTATGATTTAATCAGCTTCAAAGTATTTCTGCTGAGTTTTGTTACTTTGTTTAACTTTTTTATTATGTGGTAGCTGGTGGATTGTAGGCATATTTAGCAGTTGGGAAATGTCTAAGGAAAGATTACCTTTGATAAAAAGCCAGTAGGAAGGGAATTGAAGGACGCAGAGTCGATGCCTGCAGTTTCTTGTTTTTGTTTCCCCAGCTCTGGAGTCAGACTGCATAGGTTTGCATCCTGACTCTTCAAGTTACCGTGTGACTTTGAGCAAACTTCTTAACTTTTCTGTGCCTCAGTTTCCTCTAAAATGTGATCATAGTTGTATTTACCTCAGAGATTGTCATGAGGATTAAATGAAATACTATATAAATGCTTAGAGCAGTATATCATCTTTCAGAAGAAAATTAAGTGTTACCGTTTGTAACTATCAGCTTCACAGACACTTAACTTCTTCTTTAATTTTCCCACTTAGAACCTAAAGTATATTTCTGTAAATGGGCACAACAGCTGGATCCCGACGTAATGACATTGATTTACGTTGTAAGTAACACACTACTGCCACCAGAGTATTTCTGGACAGTGTCTTGATAACTTTCGGTAATTTGGCTGTACCCTGTCATTCATTCCGTACATGTTTATTGAGCATCTATTATATGCTAGAAATGACATGAGCTATGGAAAATATGAACATGAAAAATAAAGAGCCCACAGATTAGTGACAAAGACAGAGAAGAAACAAATGCCTTCGATACAGTCTTTTGTACGTCAAAGTTTTTAGCCCTCTTGACAGTGGCTTGAGAGACCAGGTGTACAGACTTCTTTCGGGCTCAGGTCCTGCAAGTTGTGGGATGGGGGCCAGGATAATTTGCCACCAGCAAGCTTGGATTCAGCCACCTGCTGCTGCCCAGAATGCGATCCAACCTTTCCCAGTGAAAATGCAACCTTAGGAGTCAGGACCCAGGCAAGAGGGGGAGTGTGTAAAGACCTACACTGTATTCCACTAAGAACAAATAACTAATCACACAGCAGAACCTCTGGTATATAAACAAAGACATCCAGGCTGAACACAACCCCACCGGCGATATGTACCTCCGAGTGTACACCAGGGTATATAAAAAGTTATCCAAATGTCTGTTGCCTTTGACATTTGATCAATCACTATTGGAGTTTTCATCAACTTGTTCAGACTATATACCATGGATCTTTGCTGGGTGGATTAAGGTTTTGAATGTATTGCTTGTGTATTTCATCATGCAGTCAAAATCCACCTCCCACATAAGCCTGTTGTTGGATAGAGCTCCCAGTCATGAAAGTCTGTCCTCTTTTTCTCCCCTTCTATTTCTTGGTATTAATTTCAGCTTAATCAAGTCTTCTGGCCCTGTGATTCCAGGAACAGTTGGGTTCTGGCTAAAAGCAAAAGAGAAAACCGCCTGTTTCAGTCGCATAAGGTGATGTGGCAAGAACTTGTTTCTGAGGAATCCAAGATCTAGCCATTTTCAGCAGTGGTCATAGGGGACTGGAACGGGGGCGCCACCTGCAGGCTAAGGGGGAAAACACAGAGCGAGAAACTGAACCTTGCTTTAGGGGACAGGCATTTAAAGGCAAAGGAAATTCAGTCCCTCTGTGATAGACAGTAATGAACTCAGCAGGCTGTCTTGTAGATAAATATGCATGAGAATGCATCGTTGGAAGAGCTCTCACGTATTCCCTTCATTCCTGCCTTTTGGAGTTTCAGAATGTTTTACATTTTATGTTCATTTATATTTTTCTTTGTCAGAGTATGGAGATCCTAAAATCATCTGCCAGGGTATTTGCTGCTTCTTGGTACTGCTTGCTGCTCTTTTCAGAGAGAGCAGTGCCAGGTAAAATATTCTGCATTCTCATAAGAAGAGGTGAATGTCATTGCGTTCCCTGTTAATATGAGGCAGGGAAGGACGCTCTGGCCCGGAGCCGGAGTCCTCACACCACTTTGGTCTCTGTCCTTTCTAGCAGATCTAAATATCTACTCTGTCTACACCCTGTTTTTACAGAAACACCAGTGCTAGTCTAGAATGAAGGCAACATTGACAGCAGTGATGATCAAACGTTCGTTTTTCAATATGCCATGAAAAATAACTTGGTCCAAAATAAAATTCTGTCCTTATATTTCTATTTAGATGTATACCTCCCATAAAGGTAAAATGTTTTTCTCAGACGTAATTTCAGATTTTCTGTGTGCCCTACCAACAGATCAGGTTTCTCCTAAGTTTTTCAGTGGAAAATGTGATCGGCAAATGTATCAGCTGTTCCTCTGTTAGCTTTGTTGATTGATGCTTTTGAGGGGCAGAGTAGGTTTATTTGCTGATTTGTGCATTTTATCAGGTACAAAGGACATAGCAGATGTGGAAGATGCTTTTAAGAACTTCACCAAGAAGCTTGAGGGCCACCCTAAGGGAAGCTCCGCTCTCCTTCAACTGAAGCTCTCCAGGGACAATAGGAGCTGATGTTTTTGGAAGCGTCACACTGCTGGGGTCAGTGTTGCAGGTTCAGGAATGTCAGGATGCAGCCCTGTGTCTAGAGTACTCACAGCTAGGACAGGCGCACACATAACTATAATACCAAGCCAGCCTGCAGCAGCGCCATGGAGGGGCACACAGGGTGAAGAAGGGTGTCTTAGCTGGAATTGCTACAACAGAACGCTGTAGACTGGGCAGCTTCAATGTGGATGTGTATTTCTCACAGTTCTGGAGGGTGGAAGTTCCAGAGCAAGGTGGTGGCTGATTCACTTCCTGGTGAGGGCTCTCTTCCTGGTTTGCAGACGGCCTCCTTCTCACTGTGTTCTCACATGGTGGACAAAAAGAGGGCTCTGGCGTCTCTTCTTATAGGGACACTAATCGCATCCTGGGGGCCCCATTTGTTTGACATCATCTAACCTGATCGTCTCCCAAAGGCTCCATCTCCTAATACCATCATACTGGGGGTTAGGGTTTCGTGTGTATTTAGGGGTAGGGGAGACTAACATTCAGTCCATAACGGAGGGGAAGATTCAGCTGTAGGATTATCAGGCTCAGAGAATTAGACTCTATTATCTCCCCCGCCTACACACACACCCCTGTACTGATGAGAAAAGTAAAGCAGCGAAGGGGAGGGTACTGAGCTTAGCAGCAGCCAGCTTCATTGTCAGTTCCATACCTGGGAGAGCCTCAGAGCCCACCCTCTGTGAAAGGAGGGAGGCATGAGCATGTAAAAAATATATACTTCTCCATGGAAAAGATGGTTTTGACATTCCCGGAGGCATGGTACCTATTTCAGATCTCCTTAGAGTTTCTGTTAAGTGGGTGCCTCCCTTTTTTTTTTGGGATGGAGTTTTGCTCTTGTTGCCCAAGCTGGAGTGCAATGGCGCCACCTTGGCTCACTGCAACCTCTGCCTTCCAGGTTCAAGCGATTCTCCTGCCTCAGCCTCCTGAGTAGCTGGGATTACAAGCGCACGCCACCAGGCCCGGCTAATTTTTTGTATTTTTAGTAGTAACAGGGTTTCACCAAGTGAGTGCTGCTTTTAAGAAGTCAAATGATAGGCAACTTGTGGACGATGCCTTTAGTTTATCTAAGTCCTGTTTCAGCTTTGAGGTTTCCATGAGTTGCGTTTTACCCTGAGGTTGGTGAAGTGCAGCATTGGGTTAACTTTGCTCCCACGAATTCCAGGGGTGCCCATTGCTAACTGGCTTCTCACAGCAATGACATTTGAGGCCGGAATGGTCTCTCTGTCGGCACGGTACACAGTTGTTCACTGGTGGCTTATTGGTCAGATCAAAAACCAAAAAGAAACAGGGAGGGAATGCGGACTAGGATCCATGTTTGTAGAAATCTGAGCAGGGAGAAAGGAAGAAAGGAGGATTGGGGGACCCCTACATGTCCTCCCTTCAGTTGCAGATGTTTGTTAGGATGTGGTCAGATGTGGGGAAGGGCAGGTGGCCATGGAAGCAGGGCCCCCAACAAGTGGCATTCACCTGGATGGATGCCCCACAGCCCAGCATCTAGACTTCAGCTGGTTTGTCAACACACCAAGTGTGGATGCTTTTGTTGGAACAGAATCCCTCAACAGAGACAGAATGCCAGTATTATTGATTCATAATAAAATGTATAATTATCCAGTGGGCTCATGTTGGCTAAGTAGCATCGTCTTTCCCCTTTAGGGCAAAAATACTTAGAAAGGCAAACTGTAATCAGAAGATCGCTTGGATGGATGGGATCAGAGCAGGAGGAGGGAACGGGGTTATGTTGACAGCTGGTACCATCAGGCTGTGATAGCTGGTCTGGAACCCTCACCTCCACTGTAAGGACATCCCTGCCACAGCCCATGGTCACGGCATGTAGCCAGGACTCTGCTTTCCCAGTGGTCCTGTGGAGGGGCTGCTGACTTGGAAGGTGGTGGGCTTCTCTAAGTCTCTTATCCATGGTCACCCTGCTGACCGACCCCACCGTCACCCCCCACCCCCGTAGGCATAGACATATTATATCTTTAGAATATGAATCCAGACAACCGTCTACCTTCATACATGGCATAGTCCCCAAAACATGCACCCCTGTGCAAAATGGAACAGTACACTTACATGCTCCCAGCCCAGAGAGGTTTAAAAGTATATTTATATTTTTAATTATAATTTTAAAATAAAAAGTATATTTATATATTTATAAATAGGTGCATTAAGGCCAGGTGCGGTGGCTCACGCCTGTAATCCCAGCACTTTGGGGGGCCAAGGCAGGCGGATCACGAGGTCAGGAGTTAGAGACCAGCCTGGCCAACATGATGAAACCCTGTCTCACTAAAAATACAAAAAATTAGCTGGGCTTGGTGGCAGGTGCCTGTAATCTCATCTACTCAGGAGGCTGAGGCAGGAGAATTGCTTTAATCCAGGAGGTGGTGGTTCCAGTGAGCCGAGATCACGCCACTGCACTCCAGCCTGGGCAACAGAGCAAGACTCCAACTCAAAAAATAAATAAGTAAATAAATAAAAATAGGTACATTAAATTACACACACACACACACACACACACACACACACACACACACACACAATGTCTGATTATCCCTGGTCTTTTAGTTACCTTTTTTTATTGATACATAATGCTTCTACCTATTTATGGGGTATATGTGATGTTTACTCGCATAGAATGTGTAATGATCAAGTATCATTACTTCGAATATTTGTCTTTTCTGTGTTGGGAACACCTCAAGTCCTCTCTTCTAGCTATTTTGGAATATACAGTGCAGTATTGTTAACCAAAGTCCCCCTACTCTGCTATGGAACATTAGAACTATTCCTTCTATCGAACTGTATGTCTGTATCCACTCACCAATCCCCTCAGACGCCCCCTACACCCTTCCAGCCTCTGGTATCTATCATTCTACTCTCTACCTCCTTGAGATCCACTTTCTCAGCTACCACGTATGAGTCGTCACAGTTCTTGATGATATATTTCCCCATGCCTATAGCTTTTTGCTTTTCATTCTTTTATAACTAAATCTGAACATTGGCCTACCTAGATTCCAGTGAGCACCCAATTGGTCACTTCTGTTCTGTGTGATCATTTCCATCTTTGTCTCTTCTCAAATGCATGACTACTGCGATATCTTCATTTCTTATCACTAGCTGCTTCAGGTGCATTTTATCATTTTCCTCTTTTAAAATAAATAATAGGAAAATGCCCCAAATATTCAACAAACAGTTGAACAAATACTGCTCTGTAGATGGATACAGCCATTCTGTGCAAACTTAACTTTTGGCTTGAAGTGATTGGCACAATACAAGGCTCAAATTATTTGTGGGAAAATCTAGCTTTTGCATACAAAACGTGATGTCACCTTTTATGTTATGTGATATAACATAGTATGCTATGTTTTCAAAAGTTAAATAGACAAAAGTTAGGGAAGTTGATAACCACAATCAGATTATACTTGGATCTCGGGGGGAGAAGTGTGGGATGGCATTTGCCTTTTTTTTTTTTTTTTTAGATGAAGTCTCTCTCTCGCCCAGGCTGGAGTGCAGTGGTGCAATCTCGGCTCATTGCAGCCTCCGCCTCCCGGGTTCAAGCCTCAGCCTCCCAAGTAGCTGGGATTACAGGTGCGCGCCACGATGCCTAGCTAATTTCTGTATTTTTAGTAGAGACAGGGTTTCACCATGTTGGCCAGGCTGGTCTCAAACTCCTAACCTCAAGTGATCCACCCGCCCCAGCCTCCCACAAGTGCTAGGATTACAGGTGTGAGCCACTGCGCCCGGCCCATTTTGCTTATTTTAATAAATTCAGTAAATAGTTATTGAGTGCTTGCTGTGCGTCAGGCTCAGTGCTAAGCATCTATCGTCAAGTTCTAGGAAGGGGGAGAATGAGGGGACACCTTCCTGGCGCCTCTATGATACCGCCTCGCACTTTATCTCTCTGAAGTGGTTTTGAAATCCCTTAGACCAGGGACTCTCAGCCTTGGCGCTGTTGACATCTGGGGCTGGAGAATTCTTTGCTGCAGAGGATGTCTTGTGTATTGTAGGATGTTTATCAGCACCCCTGGCTTCCACCCACTAGATGCCAGTAGCATCCCCGGTCTCCAAACATTGTCATATGTCCCCTGCGGGACAGAATCACCCCAGCTTGAGAACCATTGCATCAGACCCTCCGGCTTTCTTGACTTTGCCAGAAAAATTTGCACTGGGCCTGCCTACTGTTCCGTCTAGTGTTGTACGTGTTGAGCCAATTTGTTCAAAAGCCTCAGAGTGGTGCATGGGAGACAGAGGGGCTCTGAGAATGAAAATGCATTTGGTTCATAGCAATAAGTATGTGCCGTGTCATGAGAACTTCTCACACCTAGTGTTTTGCACACCCAGCACCCTGCACCTTCTTTGCCCCATTTCCATCCCCCGAGATGAAGGCTACGACTGCGTCATGTGAATTGGAACAATTCAACTAAATTAACAGTATGGCATCATGCAGAGAGTGGGCCTGGAACACTGGCTGAATTTTTTTTAACTATATTTCTGGAATTGAACTGGTATCTTGACCCAGTGTGCATGCTTAGCGTGGTGTTCACTGCAATTCGTGATGGGAGTAGAGGCCAGGCTGGTACCATCACCCGCGGCCTGGCTGTCGGGACTCTCTTACTAGAGCAAGGAGGGGAGCAAGGGAAAGCGTGAACTGGCAGCACCAGATCCTGTGAGCAATGCTTCTACCCAGATAAATCAGGGTATATGTATTCACAGAGGATACACTGTGATATTTTCTCATTTTAAATGTATTGGTCAGTGTTAAAAACAGAATGCCATTACTTGAGGAGTAGTCCAGTGATAATGTACATTTCAGTCTTTTATTACATTTGGTTTAAAGTATTATTCAGCAGACATAATATCTTTTTAAAAAGCAGTCTTTGTATTGGTTTTGTAAGTAATTTTAAAAATTACATTTTGATTTTCAACATTTACTCCAATTTTTTGGTACATGTTTATAGCCAAGTTATGCTTTCACAGTGAACTATAAGGGAAATAATGAGGAACTCTTAACTGCTTGTTCCTCTTGGTTGCCAGTAAAATCAGTATAATTAGGCTTTCATGAAAGCCACCGGATAGTCCTTATAAAAAAATAATCACCACCATTCCCAGTAATATATTCACTGCCAGGCAGCTTGGAGTAATGGAGACATTGGAAGAAAAATAGGCGAAGTTATTGTTAGCAGAACTGCCTCTTACTCAAGGCCACTATCTGAAGTTTGGAAGTGGTCTTTTCTCCTTCCTGATGAGAACAATACATGTACATTTTTCTCCACGAAAAAAAGATTTTGACCAGCCCAGGCAACATAGACCTCTTCTCTACAAAAGTAAAAAAAAAAAATAGCCAGGTTTACTGGTGCATGCCTGTGGTCTTAGCTACTCAGGAGGCTGAGGTGAGAGTATCACTTAAGGCCAGGAGTTCGAGACCAGCCTGGATAACATAGAGAGGCTTTGTCTCTACAAAAAATTGAAAAAAAAAAAAAAAAGCTGGATGTGGTGGTGCACACCTGTAGTCCCAGCTACTTGGGAGGCTGAAGTGGGAGGATTGCTTGAGCCCAGGAGTTTGAGGCTACAGTGAGCCACGATTGCATCACTGCACTCCAGCCTGGGCAACAGAGTGAGACCCTGTCAAAAAAAAAAAAAAAAGAAAAAAAAAAGATGCAAAGAAAGAAATTTCAGCATTGAAAGATATAGATACTATACTGAAATCATTAACTAGTGCAGTGTGTCATTATAGACCTGAAAGGGCATATTTCATACTAAATTATTTTTATTCACAATGCTTAGGAGTTGAAATTTTCTTTTTCTAAGTAGGAGCTTCTCTTCTACCATTCTTTTCTGACCCCTTACAAAGTAAGGGCAGGATCCAAAGCTCGTCAAACCCGTGTGTCATTTCAGCAAGCCGTTGACTCATGTTTTTTGGATCGATTTCTAGTTTTGTAATGATTGGGTTGTCTCATGTTAAAACATGCAGTCTTGAAATAGGGTTCGAAAGACAACTTTTAATGATTCACAGACACTATTTGGTTTCTTTTAAGCAGGTAGAAAAAATACCAGAATTACCACTCACCTTGAATTTTGGCTTGATTTGTCTAAATTGCAATATTTGATTTTTATACAGCATAAGAAAGTTTCTCGTCAACTCTGGTGTATCTTACGCCATTTGCTTCAGTGACGGTACCCACAAGGTGGGAATCTTATGGCTAAAAGGATTTTAATTAGTAGACACTCAAGCCACCAGATGGCTCCCTTAGGTTTAAAAATCTCCACCTGGGGGAAATAAATGGACTTTTCCCGAGTAAATTTAGAATAATGCCCTAAACTTGTAATGTGAGCAGGTCTTCAGAGTTTCGAGCTGAAGTTACAGGTTTAGAGTTGTCCGTTGGAGGTTTTTGTTTCTTCGTTTAATGATTTAAAAACAGGTTATGATACAAGATCTTCAAAATGGTTTTACCACATGCATCATGACTTAGAATCTTCGTTGGCTCTTTTGGTTTTTTTCATTCAAAGTTGAAATGCCTCACCTCTTCTTTCTTTTTCTCTCTACTAACCATTTTCTACTGAGCACACCGTACCTTATCAGTCTCATAACTGGGCCACCTAACTCTCCCTAAGACAGCACTAGGAGTTGACACCCAGAGAATCTGTAAGTCATGTACTGCTCATCTAACGAACAGTCCCTGCTAGCCTTGCCTGCTTCTTTTGCATAGACCCCACTCTTGGGCACTTCCACATCTGCTAAGTCCACTGAAACCCAGTGGGGTAGATTCATCTCATCAAAAAGAAATAGAGACAAGGTACGACAATTACACGATTTTTGACCGAAGGTTCTCATGGGAAGTTCCCCATTAAAATTGTTATAGAGGCCGGGCACAGTGCTCACATCTGTAATCCCAGCACTTTGGGAGGCTGAGGCGGGTGGATCACCTGAGGTCAGGAGTTCGAGACCAGCCTGGCCAACATGATGAAACCCCGTCTCTACTAAAAAGACAAAAAGTAACCAGGCGTGATGGTGCATGCCTGTAATCCCAGCTACTTGGGAGGCTGAGGCAGGAGGATCACTTGAACCTAAGAGGTGGAGGTTGCAGTGAGCCGAGATCACACCAACTGCACTCCAGCCTGGGCAACAGAGTGAGACTGTGCCTCAGGAAAAAAAAAAAGAAAAGAAAAAAGAAAACTGTAAAAAGAATTTCCCTCATTTCATGAATGCACCACCCTAGGTCTCTTGTATCAAGAGAAATCTGGGAGGAAACACTTTCCTGGCGCCTGTGGGCAGGGGTGAGGCAGGAAGGAGTGAGTAGGCTGGATTGAGCAATCTTCAACAGAATCCTGTTTCACTTTTTAGGGTTAGAGCCACTTTGCACTAACCTTTCCACTGACAGAACCACTCACTAGGAAACTGAAGGAACTCAGGAAGAACCCAGTGCCAGCACTGAACCACTGCGTCCCTGCCACTCTTACTCCTCCTCCTTCAGGGAGCACTTTTTACCTGGCAAGGCTGTTTCACAGTTATCCCAGGATGAAACCTATGGATAACACTCTTTTAGCAGGTGTAGAGACTAGAAAATAATTGCTCATCGCATCCCAGCCTTTAGATTCCAGTCCTCTGGGAAGTGTGGTTGAGAAGGGGACAGTTGCGAGCAATCCAGCTCGAGTTTTAGCACACAGAAGAATTACCTGAGGGTATCACTAAAGCAAAGGTTGCTGGGCCCTGCCTTCTGAGATGCTGATTCAGTGGGTCTGGGTAGGAAAGGAGGCATGAATTTGCATCTAGAACAAGCTCCCATGTGATACCAAGGACTGGTCCAAGGACAACCCTTTGAGTAGCAAGACCTTTAAGAACATGCTTCTAATACCCAGCTGTTGTCACCTGGAAGGAGGGATGCCTTTGGAGGTGAACAACAGAGCCACTCAAACGCTTTTCCATCTGAACCACAGAGGACTGGATGTCACTCAGGACTCATGACTTGAATTAGGGTATAAAAGAACCCAGCCTGGTCCGTCTGCAGAATTCCTAGCGAAGAGTCACTCTTGGGGTATCAGTGAGAGAAGAGGCTGGGCATCAGAGCATCATGGAGACAATGTGCCTCTTGGTCTTAGGCCTTCATTTACAGATGATTTTAGACAGTCCCATTAAAGACACAGTTCCCTTGAACTTCACAGACATGCTGAGTGATGACAAACCTTGGCAGGTCTGTGACCAGTTTCTTCCAACAAGTTACTTCTAGGCATTCCTACTAATCTTTCAACCCACTCATTGCTTAAGGGTAATAAGATCTAGAGATGACGTGGTAGATAAGACTGTTGACACATTCTCTAATCTTAGCTAAGCAAACAGAGACTCATTGTCCCAAGCCAGTGGCTGGCACAGTGCCCTGAATGTCTTAACAGAGTTTGACAGGGAAATAGGAGCCCTTCAACCCTTTTTTGAGATTGAAACTACAAGAGTGAGAAGATTATTTTTCCCTCTCGAATGGCCCCGAAGAATCAATAAGGATTCAAGGGTTTTCCTCTCCACGGTAAGGAGATTGTTCTTGGCAAGTTATGCTGAGAAGCCTGTTGTGTGCCTTGTCCTCCCTCAGTCATTTCAGCCTTAGAATTGAATTAACTGCAGGCCCAAGGACATAAATGAACCACGTGAGTCATTTTTCAAAAGTGAACGACAGGGCACCTGTCTTCTGGAATTGGTGAATCCATTCAGCGGAGACTCTTGACAAGGCTTTGTGTGAGATGATATAAATAGGCCCTGACCTGCAGGGCTTTTGTTGTCTTTGGGTGAGATAGAGACATTTGTACACAAATAATCACAAACTGGCTAAACTGTGCCACGTGATTAGCAAACATGCGCATGCCCAATCAGCGAGATCTTCACGGTCAAGGGGCTAATGTCTAGAGAAGCTTGGACGTACAGAATAGCGTGGCCGTTAGTCTTATATCCTGTCGTGGTTCCCCACACATTTCAATTACTCGATAAGTAATTCGAGACCAGTCACAGGCTTTTTTCTCACTTAATGGACAGCCTTGATGAGGGCTAGCAATTTCTTCACTTCTTGTTCCAAATATAACCAACTTATAAAAACACCTTCTGGAACTCCATACAGGGAAGAATAGGATTTAATCACAGGAAATGTATCGGCGGGCTGTGCATTACTCAATTTAGCACTGTTGGGAGCAGATCAAAATCTGGGATCCATGGTATTAGATGGCTCCAAGCTTCAAAATTTTGTGTTCTTTCACTGGCTACCATCCACCATCCATCCATCCATCCATCCATCCATCCATCTATCCATCCATCCAAAAAATATTTACTGAGCAGCTACTAGGTGCCAGGGCCTTTGTAGGCATCAGGAATATAGTAGTGAACAAAATAGACAAGGACCCTGTGCTCACAGAGCTTATTACCTAGCAGAGGGTAACCCGTAGTAACAGGTACACACATGCATGAACTAGGTGCCTCCAGATAGTAGTCATTAGGCCACATGGCTCGATGGGAAATGACTAGGGGGAGATTAGGGTTGTGTGGACCAGTGCCTCCTTTGATAGACAAGCACTGGTTACGGACATGGCCCTAGACTCCAGGTGTCAGAATTACCACTGTAGACCTAATGTCTATAACAGAGGTTTTAGACAGTAGGAGTTTTTAACAGTAGGAGTTACTGAAACCCCTCGCTGCCTTCTAAGTGCAGCAGGCTCTATAACAAGAGGGGGCTCTGTTTCCCTAAGTGAGGTAGCTTTCTGAGGTCCCTTTTATAAGGGCGTTAATCCCATTCACAATGGCTCCACCCTCATGACCTAATCACCTCCACAGGCCCCCCATTCCTAACACCATCACCTTGGGTGTTAGGATTTCAGTATATGCATTTTGGGAGACAGTCCATGGTAGACTTTAAGATAACTCCAGGCTGGGCGCGGTGGCTCACGCCTGTAATCCCAGCACTTTGGGAGGCTGAGGCGGGCGGATCACGAAGTCTGGAGATCGAGACCATCCCGGGGATAACACAGTGAAACCCCATCTCTACTAAAAATACAAAACAATTAGCCGGGCTTGGTGGTGGGTGCCTGTAGTCCCAGCTACTAGGGAGGCTGAGGCAGGAGAATGGTGTGAACCCAGGAGGCAGAGCTTGCAATGAGCCAAGATTGTGCCACTGCACCTCCAGCCTGGGCAACAAAGTGAGACTCCGCCTCAAAAAAAAAAAAAAAAAAAAAAAAAAAAAGATAACTCCAAAGAATTTGAAAAGTAGTGTAAGTTACAAAGTTATCCCCTAGAAGTTATAGAAATTTGCCCTTCAGCATCCTCATCTGTAAGTGGAGAAAATGATACTTCATAGAGAAGTTATGAGGAATTCTTAGCCAAACACTGGGCACACAATAGCCATTTGGCAAATGTTGGTTTCTTCCCCTCCGGCCTACCAAAGGATCTGGACGAGGTCAGTTCAAAGGTCCTTACCATTTAAACTTGAAGCTATAAGATTAAAATCCCTGTCCTAACAGAGTTTCTAGCATTAAGGCGGAAACAGAAATGTAAGGCATGGCCCTGATCACTAAAAAGGATGTGATCTATTGGGAACTACTTGGAACAAGAGTGAGAAGTAGAAGAGAGTAAAGAGTCAGGAAATGTGATTTAATAAGTATGTGACAGAATATTGAAAGTGTTCATTAGTATATCTCTAACGGAGGTATAATCGGTGCTCTCGGGGCAGGTGGAAAATGGTGTGGGCTGGAATTTGAGTGTAGATGGGAAAAGGCAGAAAGGAAGGTGTTCCGGAGTCCACATGGGAGGAAGAACTATGTGAACACCACATGGGGAAAAGAAGAAATGGACGTGAAGAGGCTAAAGTCCCAGGGTGTCAGGCAGTGGGCTTGTGTATTGCAGGCCCACACGTCTTAAAGCAATCTCATTGAGTCACACTTAATTAATTGAGAATTTATCATTATTTGGAAGGAGGCAGGCTGCAGTTTGGGAGAATTGAGATTTATTAGGTGTTTGAACGGTCTGAACGGGAGAATTGTAGAATTTTTGCTTTAAAAGGAAAAGATGTCTGACCTCTTCCATGTAACAGATGAGGCATCTGCAGCTCACAAGGTTAGAAAGCTTCCCTGACCTCACACAGATGGTAAATGACAGAACCCAAACTAATTAAATCCTGCATTTCCCTGAATCGTTTTTGGGGCATCTCATCTCAGAAAAGGAGGGGAAGGTTATCTACTTAAGGAAGGTTATCTACTGAAAATACCGCAGTAGTATTGATTACATTAAGGCATACAGGAATTGCAATATGGTACAGATGAACATGCATCTTTTGCTAATGTGTAAGCTCATCACTAATCAGCCTACTTATGAATGAAAGCAAGACCTCCAAGAGGCAGAATAGTTACTATGTAAATTGAAAGGCATTTTTTTCTATTAAAATACATCATAAATAATTATGTTTATATCCTTGCAGTAGTTTAAAACTCTATTAGCAGGTTTTGTTGTTGTTGTTGTTTTGACATTCTTTTTTTATATTTTTTATTATACTTTAAGTTCTAGGGTACATGTGCACAATGTGCAGGTTTGTTACATATGTATACATGTGCCATGTTGGTGTGCTGCACCCATTAACTCGTCATTTACATTAGGTTTATCTCCTAATGCTATCCCTCCCCACTCCCCCTACCCCACAACAGGCCCCGGTGTGTGATGTTCCCCTTCCTGTGTCCAGATGTTCTCATTGTTCAATTCCCACCTATGAGTGAGAACATGCGGTGGTGTTTTGACATTCTGTCGCACAGGCTGGAGTGCAGTGGCGTGATCCCAGCTCACTGCAACCTCTACCTCCCAGGTTCAAGCAATTCTCGTGCCTCGGCCTCCCGAGGAGTTGGGATTACAGACGCCGGCCACCATGCCGGGCCAAATTTTTATATTTGTAATAGAGATGAGGTTTCACCATGTTGGCCAGGTTGATCTCAAACTTTGACCTCAAGTGATCCACCCACCACAGCCTCCCAAAGTGCTGGGCCTCCATTAGCAGGTTTTTAAATGTGTTTCTATCTTTTTGTCTTGGGCTGCCTTCTGTTTTAACAAAGTGAGGAAAATGGCATTCGTGTGCATGGAGAAGGGACTCTGGGGGCCAGGGTTTGTGTTCTGGGGCTTTCCGAGTCCTTGAGTGGGTTCTGGAGTCACTTAGGATAGGAGTCACTTCACTTACAGGAGTTTTGCTTGTGCAGAGGTCTCATCTGCTTTGGATTTACTACACCCATCACTCTGCATCTTCTGGTATAAAAAATGGAATGTGATTGCTGGACAAAAGCAAAACCTTGTAAATCCACTTTAAAGAAAGCAAGTGAATACATCCCAGTTGTCCTAGACACTGAGAAGTCCTCACATTTAAATGGCTGTTTGGGAAAATATTAATACTTTGAGGAGCTTGACACCGGGCAACCGCTGTCTGAGCTTCATAGGAAGGAGATGCTTCTGTGTGAATGAAATAAAGCCCAGCTCAGGGCAGCCTGAGTTCTGTGGGCCTTCACTTGGGTCTAGCCAGGTGACAGAATGTGATCCGTCTGAGTTGGAGGCTGCAGTGAGCTACGGTCACACTGCTGCACTCCAGCCTGGGTGACAGAGCCAGACCCCATCTCTTAAAAAACCAAAAAAAAAAAAGTGATCTCTCCGTGTCTCAGCGTCTGCCACCTGAGATGTTTGATGTAACTGTGAAAAGAAAAAAGGCACGTTTCTTTCAACCACATCTCTTTCAACAATCTAAACTTCACAAATGATAACCAGGCACATCCGTCTAGTGTTTTGCAGCAGAAGCAAGGGTCCCACTGTGTTTCTCCTTAGCCGTGTGGACTGGGGGCAGCTGGAGAACCCTCAGATCCGCAGTCCTCTGTGGACTCAGCTTGCAGATCCCTGCCTGGTACCTGCCCACATTGCCACAGGAGCCAGTAAGAAAATAACAGCAGGGGCTCTTTGTCAGCCATGGAAATCGGCACCCTTGGAATGCATGAATCTTAGGTTGGTGAAAAAGTAATCATGCTTTTTGCCATTACTTTTAATGGTAAAAATGAAAAGTAATGGCAAAAACCGCCATTACTTTTGCACCAGCCTAATATATTCTTACGTGTGAAAGTATTTGTAGCTTCTTTCCATTAAACTCAAAAGTAGGGGGTTTTCTTCCTCAACACTAAAGGACATCAAAGTAGTAATTTTCAAGAGAGAGTAAAGTGCATTGTCAGCTCAAATATATGAATCCAAACATGATTTCTAAAAAGATGATTTAGCCAGAAGAGTTAGTAATCTGACAAAGTTTAACAGCTTTCTTAAAAAGTCATAAGTACCCACTGGCAATGTCAATTACTACTTTATTTTCTCAACAGTCTTCTCTCATTTCGGCATCTTGCAGGAAAGAGCAACATCATGAGGCGTGTCTACACCTGCTTCTGTGGGAGAAGGAATGCACGGGATTCCAAAACTGGTCATGTTCGTCTAGCCAGCTACACACTACTGAATAATATGGTTTTCTTTGCTGTTTTTGAGCTGGAGTCTCACTCTGTTGCCCAGGCTGGAGTGCAGTGGCATGATCTCGGCTCACAGCAACCTCCACCTCCCAGGCTCAAGCAATTCTCTTGCCTCAGCCTCCCAAGTAGCTGGCATTACAGGCGCCCACCATCACACCCAGCTAATTTTTGTATTTTTAGTATAGACGGGGCTTCCTCATGTTGGCCAGGCTGGTTTCAAACTCCTGATCTCAGGTGATCTGCCCACCTCGGCCTCCCAAAGTATTGGCATTACAGGCATGAGCCACGTCACCCGGCCTGGTTTTCTAGTATATAGACTATTTCTCTTTTTACTTAACCTATAAAATAGAATTGATGACTTGGTAATGTTACAAAGGGAATACTGGGCCGGGTGCAGTGGCTCATGCCTGTAATCCCATTACTTTGGGAGGCCTAGGCGGGTGGATCACAAGGTCAGGAGATCAAGACTGTCTTAACCAACATGGTGAAACCCTGTTTCTACTAAAATATAAAAAATTAGCTGGGCATAGTGGCACGCACCTGTAGTCCCAGCTACTTGGGAGGCTGAGGCAAGAGAATCACTTGAACCTGGGAGGCAGAGGTTGCAGTGAGCCCAGATTGCACCACTGGACTCCAGTCCAGACAGAGCAAGACTCTGTCTCAAAAAATAAAATAAATAAGTAAAAAAATTAAAAAAAGAAGGGAATACTGTAGTTAAGCGGAAAGCTGACTTACACATTGTCAACTTTAATTAGACCTAGTGCCGCAGGAGAATTAAAAGAGACATGTCTCAGAAAATAATTCTACAGAAGCCACGACCAGGACATGCCATCGTTGTTATTAGTAATTATTTTTATACCTGCTGTATATAGTGCAAGGCTGTGCTCAACGCTTTATAGAATTCATTAAATTCTCACACTAGTTCCATGATGATTGAAGAAACTGAGACTTGGAGACATGGTGACTTGCCTCAGTGACGGAGCTTGGATTTGCTCAAACGTCTTCCAGGTTCTTGAGCCCACAACCTTACCTACTATGACTGTGGTTTTCAAACATGGGACAGAGTTTTGAGTTCTCACTTTTGCTTCAACGGGATAGCTCATTTAAAAAATGCTTTGCACGTGTTCGTGCATCCAGGTGAGAATTCATTTGAACCCAGCCCCCTCAGGCCCCTGTGCTCCCAGCTGCCCAGGGCCATGGTGAGGAGCGGCTGTATTCAGTCAGGCCTACGGCACGCCATGCCCGTGGCCCCACACCCAGGCTCCCCTTCCGCGTTATCCTCAGCCTGCGCAGCCCAGGGCCTGTGTAGCATGCATGGCACATGTGCTGACGGAGGCTTGTGGCTCATGGGGCCCAAATAGCCAGGAGCTGGGGCTTTACGGTTTTGTAAAAACTCATCATCTGAGCAAGGGAAGCAAAACTGAGCCTCGTTTTGATGATGCTAGGCTACAACTTACAGGCTTCTGAAGACTTTTTAAAACAATCCCTTTCAAGTCCAGAAGTGTTAAGAAGGTTATGACTCAGAGACATCAAAGCAGAATGGATTTGTGGATCTGAGGTTAAATAATCATTTAGGGCAAAGCAGGCATCACTGGTCTGTGCTTATGTAACGATATTTCTCACTAGCTTCCTTCAAGAAGCATTTTTACTGATAGCATGTGACTGCCTAAGGAATTTGTGTTTTGACAACGTTTGCACTGTGATTGAGAATAGTGTGCACTGGGCCACGATGTTTTATGGAACAAGCACCATTGTTGGGATGATAAAACATTCAGAGGCATAAGTTACACACAACAGACAACAGTGTCTTCTGGGCACAATCTTTCATATCATGGAGGTTCCTGGAAACACACCACAGCCTGAAACACAACTGCCAGCATCAACGCAGTGAGGTTTTTTTATTTGATTACGTACAAGGGCAGAATCTGGCGTATCACAATATATCATAGGATGCACCTAAGAGCCAGGAAATGTTTCACATGTGTCAGGCTTCTAAATTAATCACAGCCTTTTTTTTTTTTTTGAGACTGAGTCTCGCTCTGTCACCTAGGCTGGAGTACAGGGGCGCGCGATCTCAGTTTGCTGCAACCTCTGCCTCCTGGGTTCAGGCGATTCTTCTGCCTCAGCATCCTGAGTAGCTGGGAGTACAGGCATGTGCCACTATGCCCAGCTGATTTTTGTATTTTTAGTAGAGACGGGATTTCACCATGCTGGCCGGGCTGGTCTCGGACTCCTGACCTCCAATGATCCGCCCGCCTCGGCCTCCTAAAGTGTGGGGATTACAGGCGTGAGTCACAGCTCCCGGCCTTGATTACAGCCGTTTATCCTGACAAATGTGTCAAAGGCTTCCCTGTGAGTAAAACAGAGATGGTGCCTCCATAGCACTGAGTTGCAATTCCAGATTTGTCATGTGTGTTAGAGGGCTTCTGGAGTCACTGCATTGCCCTTCTTAGTAAATGTAGCAGCTTTGCATTTTTGTTCGATTAAAGATATAAGAAGATGCTGCATGTTTTTCTAGCTACCCTCTTGGTGCTAACATCTTGCAGGGACAGCCCAGTTTGCATTGTGAGCCTTCTTGGCTGCGTGGACAGATTCTTGGGCAGCGCTAGTTACATCGGTACAAACATTCGAATTGTGTTATAATGTTAGTCCATTAGCAGAGCCCTTAGCTGGGAGTAATTGGCCACTACAGGGCCAAAGTAACCCGTTATTGTGCACTGGCATCGAGAGCAGTGTTTTAAGTGGTCTGACGGGATCTGTGTTTAGAAACTGCAGGTTGTGAGTTACTGTGTGTGAGGTGATCCAGTATTGCACTGTTGGTGTGATAATAAGGCTGAGCCCGAGACTTGGCTTCCACATTTATCATAAGGGGATAATGGCTTTGCGCTGTGGACAGCTGCGTTAGGATGAGGCAGATCGGTTTCTCTGGCTGCCCTTTCAATTCCACTCACCACCCTCACCCCGTAGTTTTCATGCCACAGAGATGCATGCCTTGGCCGCTGAAGTCAGTGTCTGCCTGGAGACTGCTGCTGGTGTCTGGCTTTGGGAGTGCGTGTGTGTGTGTGTATGTGTGCGCACGCACACGTGCCTCTGCCGTTGCTCCCTCTTCAGGCTTGTGTCTGCCTACAGAAAAGTCTAAAAGACATTCAAGTACTGAATATGATCATTTGCAGATCACTTCTGAAATGAACGATAACTACTACTAACTCTGTAACAAGAGGGAACAAGTTAAAAAAGATGATACTGCAATGCATGAAAAAACTGAAAAGTCAGTGAAATAGTTCTTCCTTACTAAAGTTATTAATATTTGGCGTCATGCTGTCCTTTGTGCCTTCATGTCATCGTGGTTGGGCACCATAGAATTCCAAGAATAAAGGAGCTTTGGAGCATGGGACAGGGCAGTCCTGTGCGTGTTTTTCGTTCAGCAAATCTGGCTGAATATGTGCTGAGTGCCCGTGGCTGTTCTAGGTTACAAAATTCAATAAGATCTCCACCTCCATGGAGCAGGGAGAGGTAGTACCAATAAACATAATAAATAAGCAAATTCTGTAGCATGTTAGAAGATGCCGAGTACCTATAGAACAGATTAAAGTGGGACCGAGCACAGTGGCTCATGCCTGTAATCGCAGCACTTTGGGAGGCCAAGGTGGGAGGACTGCTTGAGGTCGGGGGTTCAAGACCAGCCTGGGTAACATAGCAAGACCTCGTCTCTACAGAATTTTTTTTTAAATTAGCCAGGTATGGTGGTGTGCACTTGTAGTCCCAGCTACGTGGAAGGGTGAGGCGGGAGGGTCACTTGAGCCCGGGCTGCAGTGAGCTATGATGTTGCCACTGCACTCCAGCCTGGGTGACAGAATGAGACCCTGTCTCAAAAAATAATAATTTGTTTTTAAAAAGGATTAAGTGGTGTAGAGAGATTAAATATTCGAGGAGGAGGGACGGTTAAACTTCAGGGAGCAGGTGACAGCTAAGCAGCCTAAAGGAGCCACATGGGTAGAGGTTGCAGATATTTTCAGGAAGAGCATTGCAGGCAGGGGGAATGGTAAGTGAGGACACCCGAAGTGCGAGGGTGCCTGGTGTGGCCAAGGCCCAGCGGAAGGCTGGTGCAGCTAATGCTGGTGAGGTCGGGGACAAAAGACAGAAATAGGGGTTGAGATGTAACAGGAGGCCTCGTCCCATAGAGCGTTTTAGGCTCCCCAGGACTCCTGGACTTTGGGCTGACTCTGAGGAGGATGCAGAGCCGCTGGGAGATTTGGACAGAGGCGAATTGTGATCCCACTTGCGTTTGAACAGAACCACTCTGGCTGCTGTGCTATGTTGAGAATGGACAGTAGGGGGCAGTGGTGAAAGCAGGGAGAGTGTTGGGAGGCTGCGGCAGTGACCCAGTGACCGAGGGACCTAGTTAGGATGTGTTTTAGGCCAGGATGGTTGCCAGGGAGATAGGGAGATGGGGTAGGATTCTGGATGTATCTTCAGGACCATTAGCATTCCCTGGTAGGTTGAAGATGGGCCAGTAAGGGAAACAGAGGGGTCAAAGGTGATGCCAAGATTTTTGCCCAAAGCACCTGAAAGATGGAGTTGCCCATGACTAAGATGGGGAAGCACGGGGTCAGCACCGATTTGGGGGGAAGATCAGGATTTCATTCTTGGATGTGCTGAGTTTGAAACATCTGAGTCATATCCAAGTGAAGAGTTTGAATAGGCCGTTGGATATATTTAGGATAAAAGCCTGGGCTATAGATACACATTGGGGGTGGAGGGGACCATTGGTGTATTGATTTGAACCTTCATCCACGAGCCAGGATGAGAGCACCAAGGTAGTGAGAGTAGACAGAGGGAAGGGCTACAGACTGAGCTCTGGGGCTGACCAACATTAAGAGCTGGGGAGAAGAGGAAGAACCCAGAAGGGAGACTGAGAAGGGGTGGCTGGTGGAATAGGCAGAAAATCAATAGCGGTACCTTGGAAGGTAAGTCGAGAAGGTGGTTTAGGGAGGAAGGAGTGGTCTCCAGGGTCCAGCCCCACTGGTAGCTCAAGTAGGATGAGGACTGAGAACTGACTGCTTTGTTCAGCAACATAGAATCATGATACTGGTGATTCTGACAAAAACGCTGTTTGTGAAGTGCTAGGGCCAGAAGCTTGATTGGAGCTGAATGTTCTAGAAAGTCTCCTGGGGAGAGGATTTAAATGTGAGAATGAAAGAGTATGTTTGAGACACTTTGCTGCAAAGGAGAAGAGAGAAATAGGGCAGTCGCTGGCAGGGGAAATGAGATCAAGATAAGGTTTTGGTTTTGGTTTGGTTTGGTTTGGTTTGGTTCGTTTTAATGAGAAAAAGTACAGTGTATTTGTGTTCCAATTAAAGTGAACCAGCAGAGAGAAGGGAAGGCAGTGCTATCAAAGAAAGTGGAGAGAATTGCTCAAATCAGGTCCTTGAGCAGTGGAGCGGGAATGAGATCTAGTGTACGTGCAAGATTGGCTGTAGAAGGATCGTGCGTCCTCTATGAAGGGAGAGAATGTGGAGTAACTTGGTGCAGATGCTTCTGGTGGTGAAAGTCTGTGGGAATTCTCTTCTGATTGTTTCTATTTTCTCAGTGAAAGTGGAAGCCAAGTCATCTGCTGAGAATCTTGGGAAATAGAGATTGGAGAAGAGGAGAAGTTGTGAAATAGTTGTTGGAGAAAAGTCATGAAAGTGAGCGGACTAGAGAAATAAAAGTATCAGGGGTCAGCATGATCGGGAGTTTAAAGCAAGTCTGTACATGTTTCCACCTCATGTTCAGCTGCACTGGTGCAGGCACAGAGGAGGTAAGAGTTGGGTCTAACCAGAGCCATGGCTTTGCCAAGTAAATAAGACAGAAAGAAGAGGGACGGTGTATGGCAAGGAGCAGCAGTGATCAGCTGTGGAATCTAAGGGAGCAAGAGGGAGCAAGAGAGAGCATCGAGTTGGCAGGTAATAGTGAAAAGATGACAGATGGAAAGATGGATTGGAGGTCTCAATGGGACTGGAGGATTATCGGAATCTGGGTGTTAGAAGGAGTGGGCTGGAAAGATTGAAGGTGGAGATCAGAGAGGAGGCTGCTTGATGGTGAGATTTAGGATGGGGTTGCAGTTCCTGATAATGACGAGGTCTAGGGCATGACCACAAACCCGAATGGACGATGGGGTAGGGAGGAGGACTGAATTGGACTCCATTCAAATACCTTAGAGATGCTGGGCACGGTGGCTCACGCATGTAATCCCAGCACTTTGGGAGGCTGAGACGGGTGGGTCACGAGGCCAGGAGTTTGAGAACAGCCTGACCAGCATGGTGAAACCCCGTCTTACTAAAAATACAAAAAGTAACTGGGTGTGGTGGCGCGTGCCTGTAATCCCAACTACTCAGGAGGCTGAGGCAGGAGAATTGCTTGAACCTGGGAGGCGGAGGTTGCAGTGAGCCCAGGTTGCGCCATTGCACTCCAGCCTGGGCAACAGAGAAAGACTCTGTCTAAAACAAAATAAATAAATAACAAATACCTGAGAGGCTCAGATATGGGCAGGGTCATCTCCATGCATGTTGAGGTTTGTAGGTATCAAGATAGGAATATGTTAGACAGTATGACAGTGAGTGAGGAGCTGAAATCATTGAAAAATAAGGGACATGATCTGTGTATTATTAGTCCATTTTCACGCTGCTGATAAAGACATATCCAAGACTGGGAGGAAAAAGAGGTTTAATTGGACTTACAGTTCCACATGGCTGGGGAGGCCTCAGAATCGTGGCGGGAGGCGAAAGGCACTTCTTACGTGGTGGCCGCAAGAGAAAATGAGGAGGAGGCAAAAGTGGAAACCCCTGGTAAACCCATCAGATCTCGTGAGATTTATTCACCATCAGGAGAATAGCACAGGAAAGATGGGCCCCCATTATTCAATTACCCCCGCCCCCCCCGCCCCCTGTCCCTCCCACAACACATGGGAATTCTGGGAAATACAATTCAAGTTGAGATTTGGGTGGGGACACAGCCAAACCCTATCAATCTGGTTCACAGCAACAATGAGGGGCAATGGTACTAGCATCCGATAGGATCACCTAGAGCCCATGATTACAGTGCAGGCGATGGAGCCAACAGGGCCCTCATTTGAGATCTTCCCTCCACCACTTACATCTGACAAGCCACTAACCTCCCTCCTTCTCAGTTTCCTCATCTGTTGAATGGAGACAATAGCACATGCCTCAAAGACAGAGCAGTTCTGAGGGTTAAATAAGATAATGTACAAAAAAATGTTAAGCATGCTTCCCAGCATATAGCAATTACGATACATACGATGTCACTCCCTGGTCCAAATCTTTGTGCGAGACCCTGTGCCTCCAGTCCAGAGCAAAGTGGCAGTTTACCTTTCTATTCTTATATGGCACCAGTTGTTTTCTAAATAAGGTTTATTTGCCACCTTTTCTGAGCCTTTGTTCCAAAGTAGTATGAAGGTAAATTGGAGGAGGATGAGTCATTCAGGGTGAAGCTAGACAGATATTCTAACAGCTGAGAGAGACCAAGAAGACATCTTCCTTAGTAGCAGTGAAGATGGAGTTAGAAGGAGAGAATAGTAATATTTTAAGAGAAAAATTGCAGAATTGAAAACCTGAGTTAATGTTAGGTGGGGAGTCATAAACAATCTCCCAGGTTTCTGGCTTCGTTGACCAGGTGGATGTCATTAAAAGCACAGCAGGAAATTTTCAACACTTCCTGGCATAGAGTGGCTTCTTTAATTAATTGAATTTCCATCAGACTAGGCAATAATCAGACCATGGGCTCATTTCATCAATCCTCAGTGTTATTCAGGATTAACCATTCCACAGCGTGTATAGCCACAGAAGAATTATATCACCAGGTAGTGTTCTAGAAACATCAGAATTAAAATGCCAGCCAGTGGCTCTTCATTCAGTAAATTTCATTTATGTTATGCCATACACCCGAATCCAATTTGTTTTGAATGACAGGGCGTGTTAGCATTTCTTTGAGTTATTTGGCTCAAATGGTTCGATGGTTCCTGAATTGAATTTGCTTTTTTTGGCCAAAGAATTGAAAATGTTCATTGTATTGTAAATTTCAAAACCGTACATATCTATTATATATACAGTCATTGTATGTATACTCATTTTCTAAATTATTTAACCGTTCTTGAAGGACCACAGATTTCAAGTGAGATGATCACATCATAAGTGTCTCCAAGACTGTGGATGAAGCCCCCTGTGGTGGGCTAAATCCTAGATCTCTTGTGCTTCCCCTGAGCAGTGGTTTGTGTTAAATTATAGACACAGGCCGGGTGCCGTGGCTCCTGCCTGTAAGCCCAGCACGTGGGGAGTCCGAGGCGCGTGGATCACTTGAGGTCAGGAGTTCGAGACCACCCTGGCCAACATGGTGAAACCCTGTCTGTACTAAAACTACAAAAAAAGTAGCCTGGTGCATGCCTGTAGTCCCAGCTACTCAAAAGGCTGAAACAGGAGAATCGCTTGAACCTGGGAGCTGGAGGTTGCAGTGAGGCCGAGATCATGCCACTGCACTCCAGCCTGGGCAACACAGCGAGACTCCATCTCAAAAAAAAAAAAAAAAAAAAAAAATATATATATATATATATATATATATATATATAGATATAGATATAGATATATATATATATACACACACACACACATGTATATATATATACACACACACATATGTGTATATATACACATACACATATGTGTATATATACACATATGTATATATATACACACACACATATATATACACGTATATATATACACACATATGTATATATGTATATATATACACATATGTGTATATATATATATAGACACAAACCTCTTTGACTTGGCTGTATCCCTCTTTGACTCTGATACTAGAAAAATCCCAGAGCTGTGTTTGTGACCTGCTTCCACCAAGTCCAGACAACTTCATGGCCTGGCCTTGGGCACCAACCTCTCCCTACTCCTCATCTTAGATTTAATCCCCTCCTTAGCCCGATTTTTCTTACTTGTATCAAATTTGCTTTCTCTTTCTTTGTTGTCTGCATCCTTTCAAGCTGCCTTTCAGGCCTGCTGTTTGCAACAGAGTTGGGCAGAAAAAGTAGCTCATTATTGGTGGATTTGGGCATTTGGACAGGTCTCTCCTCACACCTCCAAGAGTCGCTGCCACAGAATAAACATTCAGTAAGCATTTGTTAAAATGGTAAATACTTACTTGTTTCACATTTGTGCAGTGGAGGTGTGATTCCAAGCATTTACCTAGCCTGAAGTGCCTTAGAATAATAGAATATTAATAGTAATAATAATGGCTAGCCTTTGTCAAGTGCTTTCTCTGTGTCTGCTTTTCATAGGTCTTCCTCAGTCCCCTGATGATCTCGAGAGATAAGTGGAATAATTATGCCCGTTTTACAGATGTGAGTTTAAGAAACGAAAGTGTCGGCCGGGCGCGGTGGCTCACGCCTGTAGTCCCAGCACTTTGGGAGGCCGAGGCGGGCGGATCACGAGGTCAGGAGATCAAGACCATCCTGGGCTATCACGGTGAAACCCCGTCTCTACTAAAAATATTAAAAAATTAGCCGGGCGTGGTGGCGGGCGCCTGTAGTCCCAGCTACTCGGGAGGCTGAGGCAGGAGAATGGCGTGAACCCGGGAGGCGGAGCCTGCAGTGAGCCGAGATTGCGCCACTGCACTCCAGCCTGGGCGACAGAGCGAGACTCCGTCTCAAAAAAAAAAGAAAAGAAAGTATCTTTTTTTCAATTCAGGGAGCAAGAAGCGGAGGGGCGAACCTTCGGTCTCTTCGCCACTGCCCTTCGATGCCGTGTCCAAGGGACAGTGATGGCAGAAACCTGGCTCTCCAAAAGGAGCTGGTCACTCTCACCTCTAGAGGTACCAACCGTCTCTCTGTACCAGACCTGATGCTGAATTGTCCTGCCATGACCTTGACTCAAGGAACAGTAGGCCGAGATACAGAGCTGGCAGCCTGGCACGTTCTAATCCCCGAAGAGTTATGGGGTGGCACAGTCAGCATCTTTTTTTTTTTTTAAGAAATAAGAAATTAAGAAGCTGTAACCCCTCCTTGCGCTCCAGATACTCCATTGCTGTGGGGTTGAGAGATGGCTGGCACCACACTCAGATTGCAAAGGAAAGAGAAGGATAAGCTGATTTTGATTGAAATTCCACTGTAGGCACATGGAGGAATTTGAACATAGCACTGAGCCAGTGAATACTGTGGCTCCCTCTGGTTGAGACTTGGCACTGGCTGCAAGGCCTTGCTGGCAGAGGGAGCTCATGCAGGGGACAGCCAGATCTGCAGCAGGTTTTGAAATGTGGCCTTTCTTCATCCAGAAATTTCCATGATGGCGCCAAACGGCAGGACTTCCAGAGAGCCTCTGATGGTTGCTCCAGGCAGCCTACGAGTTTCTTCCCCAGTGAGGAAGACCATGCTCACTTGCCTCCTCTCTTGCCTCCCCTCAACTTCTCCTGTTCTCTGTTATGGCGTGGCCCTGCCCATGTGTCCTGTCTCCTGCCACCACCTTCCCCTCGGCGTCCCCAAGGAGTGGTATAAGAGCAACATGTACTGCCAAGTAGCCTTGCCCCAGAGGCTCAGGTCTCTGACTGTTGACTAGATAAGCATCGTAATTGTGTTCAGCTGGATAATTCTATTCGGCGAGTTCTAGTAACAGTAATACTGAGAATTTATTGATTTTTTTAAAGCAATTTATTTCTAGAAGTGCAAAACAAATTATAATATCCTTGAAAGTTTTCTGGCACTTCTTAAATAAGATTTGTGTTTTACAATTTTGGAAAATATTTCAATACAAAACCCAACAGAGAATACATGAAAAATGAATAAGAAATCTAGTTCATATGCTTAGGTAGAAGTGCCTGCTGTATGCATTTACTGGGATATGTTGACACGATGTGCTTCCAAACTTTTTTTCTTCCTCCTGGGATGCTTCTTTTGATGAATAGCACCACCATCTCCCTGGCCGCTCTCGCCAGAGCCAGCGTGGTATTTAATTTAGTCAAGACTCCTTTGGTTGCCAGTGAGAGAAACCCACGAGGAACTGGCAGAACTCAGCATCTGCGTCAGGGACAAATAGCCCCTGCGTTTCTCTCTCCCGATCACTCTCTGGCTTTCCGGTCTTCTCCTCTCTGTCTGTTGGTTCCTCTTCTGCTCCCTTGGAGGAGCTGGACACAGCCATGAGTTGCCCCAAGGTTGCTTCATTCTAGCTTAGGGACCCAAGAGAACAGCGAGCATCCGTTGACCAATCTCAATGCATGCAGCTGCAGGGGAGGGCATGAAGGTGCGTAGCCTGAGTCCCAGGGGCCAGGGGCTGGACAGACACACATTGGCCTCTCTAACACTGTCCCTGGGCCTTCCTCCCACCCTCGCCCCCATCCATCAGCTACTGCCTCTGACCTCTCACCTCTCTCTCCTCAGGGTCTTCACTTTCTTTCCCTCCCTGTTGTTCCTGTCCTGGGCTGGCCTTGACTCTCTTTCTACTGGCCAGGGGC